>NC_000017.11:5036565-5188080 GCF_000001405.40 Homo sapiens
CACGCCTGGATAATTTTTGTATTTTTCGTAGAGATGGGGTTTCACCATATTGGCCAGGCTCGTCTCGAACTCCTGACCTCAGGTGATCCGCCCGCCTCAGCCTCCCAAAGTGCTGGGATTACAGGCGTGAGCCACCATGTCTGGCCCTTTAATGATATTTTGTACTTGTTTACTCACTGACCATCTCAGGGATTACCCTGACCTACTACCCATTTTTGTATGGCCTGCTAGCTAAGACAGGTTTTCACATATTTATTTATTTATTTTTATTACTATTTTTGAGAAAGTGTCTTCCTCAAAAGGAAGTGCAGTAGCACAATCACAGCTCACTGCAGCCTCAAATACCTGGGCTCAAGGATCCTCCCACCTCAGCCTCCTGAGCAGCTGGGACTACAAGCACATGCCACCACGTCCAGCTGTTTTTACATTTTTAAATGGTTGGAAAAAAAAATCAATATCTGTAGTCCCAGCTACTCAGGCGTCTGAGGTGAGAGCATCCCTTGAGCACAGGAGGTCAAGGCTGCAATGAGCCATGATTGTGCCAATGTACTCCAGCTTGGGTGACAGTGAGACCCTGTCTAAAACCAAAACAAAACAAAAAACAAAGAAAACAAAAGAATCGTATTTCCTAACCCGTGAAAACTAAAAGCATATGAAATTTAAATTTCGGTAGGCCAGGCGTGGTGGCTCACGCCTGTAATCCCAACACTTTGGGAGGCCGAGGCGGGCTGATCACCTGAGATCAGGAGTTCAAGACCAGCCTGGCCAACATGGTGAACCCCGTCTCTACTAAAAATACACAAATTAGCTGGGTATGGTGGCGGGCGCCTGTAATCCCAGCTACTCGGGAGGCTGAGATATGAGAATCGCTTGAACCAGGGAGGTGGAGGTTGCAGTGAGCTGAGCTTGTGCCACTGCAGTCCAGTCGAGACAACAGAGCGAGACTCCATCCACCCCCCCAAACAAAAAAAAATTTCAGTGTCCATAAATAAAATACTATCAGAACACAGCCAAGCCCATTCATTTACCTATTGTCTACACCTGCTTTCCTGCTATAAGGGCAGAGCTGAATGGTTTCCACAGAGACTGTGTGGCCCTCAAAGCCTAAAATGTTTACTGTCTGGCCATTTACAGAACAAGTTTGCTGGTCTATCTCCCTCACTAGGATGTACGTTTGCGCGGAGGAGGCACTTTGTCTATTTCACTACCTACCCTATTCTCAGTGATCATTATACCACATAGGACGTGCTCAAATTGTTGTTGAATAAATAAACCAATAATACCCTAAAATCTGTTTCTTTCTTTCTTCCAATAATACCCTAAAATCTGTTTCTTTCTTTCTTCCTTCCTTTTTTTTTTTTTTTTTTTTTTGAGACGGAGTCTCACTGTGTCGCCCAGGCTGGAGTGCAGTGGCTCAATCTCGGCTCACTGCAAGCTCTGCCTCCCAGGTTCACGCCATTCTCCTGCCTCAGCCTCCCGAGTAGCTGGGACTACAGGCGCCTGCCACCACGCCCGGCTAATTTTTTGTATTTTTAGTAGAGACGGGGTTTCACCATGTTGGCCAGGCTGGTCTTGAACTCCTGACCTCAAGTGATCCGCCCGCCTCAGCCTCCCAAAGTGCTGGGATTACATGTGTGAGCCACTGCGCCCGGCCTAAAATCTGTGTTTCAAAAAACACAAGCCTGACACAGTGGTGTGTGCCTGTAATTCCAGCTACTCAGGAGCCTGAGGTGAGAGGATCACTTGAGCCCAGGAATTTGAGGCTGCAGCAAGCCATGATTATGCCACTGCACTCCAGCCTGGGCAACAGAAGGAGACCCTGTCTCTTAAAAAAAAAATAGTAAAATAAATTTTGAAAGCTTCCTAGGTGACTCTGATGTGCAACCAAGCTTGCCCTCACTGCTTAGGGAAAGGCTAAACCAGACAGAAATGGGGTCACATTTAGTTTCCCACAGTAATACCAAACAATGATGTTTCTAATACTCCAAGAGGATGAGAAAAGACACCATTTATCCAGCACTTTTCTTTTTTTTTTTTTCGAGACAGAGTCTTGCTCTGTTGCCCAGACTGGCGTGCAGTGGCGCAATCTCGGCTCACTGCAAGCTCTGCCTCCTGGGTTCACACCATTCTCCTGCCTCAGCCTCCTGAGTAGCTGGGACTACAGGCGCCCACCACCACACCCGGCTAATTTTTTTGTATTTTTTAGTAGAGACGGGGTTTCACCGTGTTAGCCAGGATGGTCTCGATCTTCTGACCTCGTGATCCGCCCACCTCGGCCTCCCAAACTGTTGCGATTACAGGCGTGAGCCACCGCGCCTGGCCTATCCAACACTTTTCTTGTTATATGCCAGGTACTGGCATAAATATTTAAAAAATATTAACAAACAATCCTCCCAAAAGTCCAATGGAGTGGCTACTATTATCAATACTCCATTAAAAGGAAACTGGAAACCGAGGCACATAAAGATTCAGTCAGCCGGGCGCGGTGGCCTCATGCCTGTAATCCTAGCACTGTGGGAGGCTGAGGCAGGTGGATCACCTGAGGTCAGGACTTTGAGACCAGCCTGGCCAACACGGTGAAACCCCGTCTCTACTAAAAATACAAAAATCAGCTGGGCTTGGTGGCACGCACCTGTAGTCCCAGCTTCTTGGGAGGCTGAGGCAGGAGAATCACTAGAACTCAGGAGGCGGAGGTCACAGTGAGCTGAGATCGTGCCACTACACTCCAGCCTGGGCAACAGCGAGAGACTCCATCTCTAAAAAAAAAAAAAAATTCAGTCACTTGTCCAACCTTCCACAGGTAGGGAGCAGAGCCAGGATTTCAGTGTTGGTCACGGTCTAACTGCAGGAACTGTCCCCTTAACGTAGGTGATCACCTCACCCCTTGGCCAAACACCCTGCCACTGCCTATCTGCAAATCAGTAATTGACAATTTCTCACTCTGCCACCCAGGCTGGAGTGCAGTGTGTGATCTCGGCTCACCGCAACATCCGCCTCCTGGGTTCAAGTGATTCCCCTGCCTCAGCCTCCCGAGTAGCTGGGGTTACATGCACCCACCACCAAGCCTGGCTAATTTTTATATTTTTAGTAAAGATGGGGTTTCACCATGTTGGCCAGGCTGGTCTCGAACTCCTGACCTCAGGTGATCCGCCCGCCTCGGCCTCCCAAACTGTTGGGATTACAGGCATGAGCCACCGCGCCCAGTCAGTAATTGACAATGTATAGACAATAGTTCCCTATATGTTAGGGACCTTGCAGAAGAGGGAAAGAAAAATTATAAAGTGCAGATGCTTCTCTTGGAATGACTTTGGGACAAAAGAGATCACCATGTCCTTAGGAATAGAGCTCCAACTAAAGAAAGGCAGAATGCTAGAGAGGCCGCGACAGGAGAGGCAAGACCCACATGGAGGGAGTCAAGGAGCCGGCTATAAATGGTGAACGGTCATTGTTGGATGTGTGCCTGGGGTGGTTGTGATGTGTAGGATTACAAAAGTGCCTTGTGTGCGGGCCCCACTGAGGGATGGATACTTGAAGTAGAAAGTGGAAGAACATTACTTAATGAAGGAGAACATCACTGAGCACTGGCGGGTCCCTAGATCAAATTTGTTCTTTTCCTTCTTTTTTTTGAGACAGGGTGTTGCTCTGTCACCCAGGCTGGAGTGCAGTGGTGTCATCACATCTCACTGCAGCCTTAAACTCCCAGGCTCAAGTGATCCACCCAGCTCAGCTTCCTGAGTAGCTGGGACCACAGGTGTGCACCACCACACCTGGCTAATTTTTAAATTCTTTGTAGAGACTAGGTCTTGCTCTGCTGCATAGGCTGCTCCCAAACTCCTGGGCTCAAGCAATCCTACCACCTCAGCCTCCCAAAGTGTTGGGATTATAGGCATGAACCACCGTTCCTAGTCCAAATTTGTTCTTGCGTGGGGTGAGAGGACTAATGCAAATGATAAGATCTGTCATTGTGGTTTCGACACTACGTGCCTCAAACCTTAGCTTCTCCCTGAATTTTCAGAAAAGAGCAAGGGATGGCCTTGGGGTCTGGTGCACGGGGAATAACCAAGGGGACCGAAGGTCTAACTCGCCAAGGTGCAGAATCCTCACCTGGAAGATCCCTCTGCTCCTTGGTAGATGGGCTACCTGGTACTCTGTTGTGGCCACACAGCCCTAAGGCTGTTACTTGGCAGTTCAGTTCACCATAAACCTATCATAACCCTATAGCACCGAATAGCACTTTTTTTTTTTTTTGAGATGGAGTCTCACTCTGTAACCCAGGCTGGAGTGCAGTGGTGCGATCTTGGCTCACTGCAAGCTCTGCCTCCTGGGTTCACGCCATTCTTCTGCCTCAACCTCCCGAGTAGGTGGGACTACAGGTGCCTGCCACCACGCCCAGCTAATTTTTTGTATTTTTAGTAGAGATGGGGTTTCACCGTGTTAGCCAGGATGGTCTCGATCTCCTGACCTCGTGATCCACCCGCCTCGGCCTCCCAAAGTGCTGGGATTACAGGCGTGAGCCACCGTGCCCGGCCTGTTGTTATTTTTGAGACAGGGTCTCTGTCGCCCAGGCTGGAGTCCAGTGGCAAGATCATAGCTTGCTGTAGCCTTGAACTCCTGGGCTCCAAGTGGTCCTCCAGCTTTGACCTCCCAAGCAGCCGGGACCATAGGTGTGTGCCAGCCACCACGGCTGGCTAATTTTTTACTTTTATTTTTACTTATTTATTTATTTATTTATTTTGAGATGGAGACTTGCCCTGTTGCCCAGGTTCGAGTGCAGTGGTGCAATCTTGGCTCACTGCAACCTCTGCCTCCTGGGTTCAAGTGATTCTCCCATCTCAGCCTCCCAAGTAGCTGGGACTACAGGTGCACACCACCATGCCCAGCGAATTTTTTTTTGTTTCTTTGTTTTGTTTTATTTTGTTTTGTTTTTCTGAGATGGAGTTTCACTCTTATTGCCCAGGCTGGGGTGCAATGGTGCGATCTTGGCTCACTGCAACCTCCGCTTCCTGGGTTCAAGTGATTCTCCTGCCTCAGCCTCCCGAGTAGCTGGGATTACAGGCACCCACCACCCTGCCCAGCTAATTTTTTGTATTTTTAGTAAAGACAAGATTTTATCATGTTGGCCAGGCTGGTCTCGAACTCCTGACCTCAGGTGATCCACCTGCCTCGGCCTCCCAAAGTGCTGGGATTACAGGTGTGAGCCACCACACCCCAAAATTTTTTTGTTTTTAATAGAGATGGGTTTCATTATGTTGGTCAGGCTGGTCTTGAACTCCTGACCTCAAGTGATCCACCTGCCTCGGCCTCCCAAAGTGCTGGGATTACAGGCGTGAGCCACCGCACCCGGCCTATTTTTAAGGATATGGTCTCACTGTGTTTCCCAGACTGGTCTCAAACTTCTAGGCTCAAGCAATCCTCCTGCCTCAGCCTCTCAAAGTGCTGGTATTACAGGCGTGAGTCACCATGCCCAGCCGTCCAACTTCCAATTTTTCACTGCCCCTAATTTCTTTACCCAGAAAGTACCTGGAATCCTAGACAATGGTTAGGGCTTCTATTCTGAAGACCTCACTGCAGCATTTAGCATTCTCGTGTTGGGGATGGATAGGGAGAGGGCGCACACAATCCCTGCAGCCTTCTGGGGCACGGGGCTGGCCTTACAGTAAGCACTTGAAGGCCCTTCATTCATGAACTGTTGTGCAGGGGATAAACTCTTCCTACTGACTTCCTCTTGAACCCCTGTCCCACTTCCCGTGTCTGTGTAGAGAAAGCTCACCACAGATGAATGTACTGTCTTCCTCTGCCTTCTGCTCCGGCAGCAGCTCTCCACCCTCTCCTCTATCTCAGGAACACCTGGCCTCAGAGCTCAGGGGAGGAGGTAAGCCCAATCAGTCTGAATCCTTATCTTATTCCTTCTGGCTTCAATCTGGCTTCTCCTGGATCTTGAACCCTTCCCTGTGGGTTAAAAGGCCATAGTCCTCTTTTTTTTTCTTTGTTGAGACGGAGTTTCACTTTTGTTTCCCAGGCTGGAGTGCAATGGCGCGATCTCAGCTCACCACAACCTCCGCATCCTGGGTTCAAGTGATTCTCCTACCTCAGCCTCCTAAGTAGTAGCCACCGCGCCTGGCTAATTTTGTATTTTTTTTTTTTTTTAGTAGAGACAGGCTTTCTCCATGTTGACCAGGCTGGTCTTGAACTCCCAACCTCAGGTGATCTGCCCCCCTCGGCCTCCCAAAGTGCTGGGATTATAGGTGTGAGTCACCGCGCCTGGCAAAAGGCCATAGTTCTTACCCCTCCAGCGTGACTGTCTCTGGGCCTGGCTTGGTTTTGACAACTCACCTGGGGGGCAGAGAAAACCCAGCCAACTGGTACAACTTAAACCTTTAGGGTGAATTTAACATTGCCTTGTCTCCTGCCCGAACAGATACCTCTACAGAGCAAACATTTTGTGAGATAAGCCCATAGATGAGGTTTGATACTCTTCCATTAAAGACTGGGGAATATTTGGAACTCAAATCTCAGCGGGGCCTTGAGTGGCAACACTGGCTTTCAAGGGCTGGAAAGAACTTTCGAGAACATTTAATCCATCATCTCATTGTACTCTTTTTTTTTTTTTTTTCTTGAGACGGAGTCTCGCTCTGTCGTCCAGGCTGGAGTGCAGTGGTGCAATCTTGGCTCACTGCAACCTCTGCCTCCTGGGTTCAGGTGATTCTCCTGTCTCAGCCTCCCAAGTAGCTGGGATTACAAGCACCCACCATCTCGCCTAGCTAATTTTTGTATTTTTAGTAGAGATGGGGTTTCACCATGTTGGCCAGGCTGGTCTCAAACTCCTGACCTCAGGTGATTCACCCGCCTCAGCCTCCCAAAGTGTTAGCATTACAGGTGTGAGCCACCACGCCCAGCCAATCATCGTATTCATTTTTGAAAGTATTTATGGAAGGCCCACTGTATAGAATGCATTTTGTTATGTATTTGGATGACACAAAGGCATATAATATACATAAGTAAAATCTTACAAGGCCTGGCCCTGTCCTTCCTCTCCTACCTCCTTTCTAGCACTCTCGGCCTCCCAACAAATTGCTTATGGTTCTCTGCAGACCCCACACTGTGTCCTACCTTTGTGCCTTTCCTCTTCCTGGAAGATCCTCCACACCTCACAGCCCCCCTCTACTGGCTGGCTTCCACTCAACAGTGAGTCTCAGCTTAGCTGCTGTAGCCTCAGGAGGCCTTGACTCTCTCAGACTGGGTTAAGTATCTCCCTCCCTCCCTCCCTTCTTTCCTTCCCTTTCTTTCTTTATTTTTCTTTATTATTATTATTACTTTTTTTGTGATGGAGTCTTGCTCTTGTTGCCCAGGCTGGAGTGCAATGGCGCCATCTTGGCTCACCACAACCTCCGCCTCCCAAGTTCAAGCGATTCTCCTGCCTCAGCCTCCCGAGTAGCTGGGATTACAGGTGTGCGCCACCACACCTGGCTAATTTTGAATTTTTAGTAGAGACAAGGTTTCTCCATATTGGTCAGGCTGGTCTTGAACTCCCGACCTCAGGTGATCCACCCGCCTACGGCCTCCCAAAGTGCTGGGATTATAGGCGTGAGCCACCGTGCCTGGCCACCTTTCCTTTCTTTCTGCAGGATCTTGCTCTGTTGCCCAGGCTGTAGTGCAGTGGTGTGATCACAGCTCACTGCAGCCTTGATCCCCAGGGCTCAAGCAATCCTCCCACCTCAGCCTCTTCAGTAGCTGGGGCTACAGGTACATGCCACTACACCTGGCGATTTTTTTAGAATTTTTATTTTTTGGTAGAGACAGGGTCTCACTATGTGGTCCAGGCTGGTCTTAAACTCCTGAGATGAAGCAACACTCCTGCCTTGGCCTCCCAAACTGCTGGGATTACAGGTGTGAGCCACTGCGCCCAGCCCCCCTTTCTTTTTAAGCTTACCTTATCACCACACTTACCATGTGATCATGAAATTATAGACTTTGTGCTTGTCATGTCGTGCCTTGACCCTGGACTCCTTGCCTTTAGGGATTGAACCTTATTCACCCTTTTAGTGAGACCCAGATTCTCCTCTAATAGGGACTGCAGCCTAGTAGGAGAGAGAAGGCAGCATGATCTCCTAACATGACTCCATCAGGGTGGGCGTGATAGATGCCAGAAGAGCAGTACAAATGAGGAAACTGAGGCTGTGGCTTGCCTGAAGTCACCTTCAGCTTCTTGGCAGGTGGCCAGAGCTGGAAGTCTACCTCCAGTTGGACACAGGAGCCTGGGAAGGAATTCGAAAGCAACCCAACCTTTCACCTCAGAGCTGAAGTCCTTGAGCCTCGGGGCAGTTGTGACTAAGATCAGGAGCCCACAGCCTAAACGGGGGAATGTTCTGGGTGACGAGGCAGTGAGGAGTAGTGAAAGGAGCCTGAGACTGGGCACCAGGAGACCTGGGTCTTGGTTCATGCTCTGTTCCACCTGACCTCTCACCTTCAATTCACTTTAGTCCGTGATGAGAACCCTTGGGTCAAATGGGCCTCCCCAAGATGTCACATCTTTTTCTGAGCGTAAGGTGACTTATGTCCTTCCCCAAGCATCTCCTGGCCAATAAACTGCCCTTCCTTAAGATCCAGCTCAGCTTCTACCTCCTGAGTGAAACCTCTTCATCTTCCTCACCAGGTGTAGGCTGAGGGCTTCTCTTCCCTCCTCTGAACTCCCATAGAAAAAATTTACTGGCTGGGCATGGTGGCTCACACCTGTAATCCCAGCACTTTGGGAGGCTGAGGTGGGTGGATCACCTGAGTTCAGGAGTTTGAGACCAGTATGGCCAACATGGCGAACCCTGTCTCTACTAAAAAAAAATACAAAAATTAGCCGGGCATGGTGGCGTGCGCCTGTAATCTCAGCTACTCAAGAGGCTGAGGCAGGAGAATCTTTTGAACCTGGAAGGCGGAGGTTGCCGTGAGCCGAGGTAGTGCCTCTACACTCCTGCCTGGGTGACAGAGCAAGATGCCGTCTCAAAAAAAAAAGAAAAGAAAAAATTTATGTTCCCTTCTTAGGAAGCTGAATCTTGTCCTGCTTTACTGTTTACTTATGTGCTTATCTTGTTTTCCCCTAGTAATTTACCCCCATTACATTTTCCCCTCTCAAGAGCAAAGGCCGTATTGGTTTATGTAGCTTCCTTATTACCTAATTTATGGTAGATGTTCAAATGTTTGTGGTTTTTTGTTTGTTTTTTTTTTTTAGACTTTGAATCTCACTCTATCGCCCAGGCTGGAGTGCAGTGGCATGCTCCTGGCTCACCACAACCTCTGCCTCCTGGGTTCAAGCAATTCTCGTGCCTCAGCCTCCCAAGTAGCTGGGATTACAGGCATGAGCCACCATGCCTGGCTAATTTTTGTATTTTTTTAGTAGAGAAGGGGTTTCACCATGTTGCCAGGCTGGTCTCGAACTCTTGACCTCAAGTGATCCGCCCACCTCGGCCTCCCAAAGTGCTGGGATTACAGGTGTGAGCCACCGCGCCCGGCTCAAATATTTGTTGACCAAAAGAATGGCTCCCTCTTATCAGTAAACTGCAGTGGCCAAAGGCATGGAATCTGAGACACCCGCTAGCTGTGTGACTTTGGGAAGTCACTTAAGCTTTCTGTGCTGAAATGTCCCCAACAGTAATAGGGACATAATGATGCCAACTTCATGAGGTTGTGCTGAGGCATCGATGGGCACCTGGCCCCATGCCTGGCACATGGTAAGCACTGTCAGTGTTAGCTCCTAGGCCCTTCCTCCTTCAAAATGTGTCAGAGCTGGCAGCTCACACCTGTAATCCCAGCACTTTGGGAGGCCTAAGCGGGTGGATCATTCGGTCAGGAGCTCAAGATCAGCCTGGCCAACATGGTGAAAACCCATCTCTACTAAAAATACAAAAATTAGCCAGGCATGGTGGAGGGCATCTGTAATCCCAGCTACCCGGGAGGCTGAGGCATGAGAATTGCTTGAACCCGGGAGGCAGAGGTTGCAGTGAGCCGAGATTGCACCACTGCACTCCAGCCTGGGTGACACAGCGAGACTCTGTCTAAAAGAAAAAAATGTGTCAGAGCTGTGAAGCTGTCCTTGCTACTGAAACACTGTGGGGGAATGAGACATTTCCCCTGCCCAAGGGGCTTCTTCCTCGACCTCCAAATCTGCTCTGACCGATCTACTGATAAGTGGTGAAACCCTCCCAGGGAGCTTTTCTTGTCCTAGATATTTGTGTGGATTACTTGGTTTGGGTCTGCAGTTTAGAGTGTAGATTGGCCAGGCGCGGTGGCTCACACCTGTAATGCCAGCACTTTGGGAGGCCGAGGCGGGTGGATCACGAGGTCAGGAGATCGAGACCATCCTGGCTGACACGGTGAAACCCTGTCTCTACTAAAAATACAAAAAAAACTAGCCGGGCCTGGTGGCGGGCGCCTGTAGTCCCAGCTAATCGGGAGGCTGAGGCGGGAGAATGGTGTGAACCTGGGAGGCGGAGGTTGCAGTGAGCAGAGATTGCGCCACTGCACTCCAGCCTGGGCAACAGAGCAAGACTCTGTCTAAAATAAATAAATAAAATAAAATAAAATAAAATAAAGTAGAGTGTAGATTTACTTTTGAGACAGGGTCTCGCTCTGTCACCCAGGTTGGAGTGCAGTGGCACAACCACGGCTCACTACAGCCTCGACCTCCTGGGCTCAAGTGATCCTCCTGCCTCAGCCTTCCAAGTAGCTGGGACCACAGGCATGTGTCACCACTCCTGGCTAATTTTTAAAGTATTTGTAGAGACAAGGTCTCTCTATGTTGCCCAGGCTTGTTTCGAACTCCTGGGCTCAAGCAATCCTGTCTTGGCCTCCCAAAGTGCTAGGATTACAGCCATGAGCCATGGCACCCAGCCTAGATTTACTTATTAATTGATGTGGGGTGTGTGTGTGTGTGTGTGTGTGTGTGTGTGTTTTACAAGAAGGAATGCCTTTAGATAGCTTCCTGATTTTCAGAGAACCCTCAGATGTTTTCATATTGGTAGAGTTAATTAGAGCTAGAATAGTAATGCCACTGGGGTTAATAACTATTCGGTCCAGGAGTGAAGTCAGCATCTTAGGATCAATGTGGTTTACGACTTCCTGGAACAAAGACAGTTTTCCACAACAAACCCTCAAACAGATGTAGGTTCTAGTAATAAACATGATCAGACTCAAGGTTTCAAGGTTGCAAAGTGACAATTCTCACAGTTATGAAAATGACCTTTCTAGGAGGAAGGAAAAGCTCCTTGCCCCTTATAGAAAATCAAAACAAACTGAAACCCAGTTTTAGCGGGCCAAGATACAGAATAAGTCAAGATTTAACTTAAATTTTATGGCCACTGGTATGTAAAAATTTCCCCACCTTATTTCTTGTCCTTCTGAAAAACAAAGGCTAATGACTAACCCAGGGCCTTGCATTCTCTAACCATTTCTTTTCTTCTTCTTCTTTTTTTTTTTTTCTGAGATGTTGTCTTACTCTTGTTCCCCAGGCTGGAGTGCAATGGCGCGATCTCTGCTCACTGCAACCTCGGCCTCCTGGGTTCAAGCAATTCTCCTGCCTCAGCCTCCCAAGTAACTGGGATTACAGGCGCACACCACCACACCTGCTAATGTTTGTATTTTTAGTAGAGACGGGGTTTTACCATGTTGGCCAGGATGGTCTTGAACTCCTGACCTCAGGTGATCCACCTGCCTCCGCCTCCCAAAGTGCTCGGATTACAGGCGTGAGCCACCATGCCCGGCCACATTTTCTAACCATTTCAATCTGCATCCAAATTCTTTGGTTTAAAGGGTTTTTTTTTGTTTTGTTTTTTGTTTTGTTTTGTTTTTAAATGGAGTCTTGCTCTTGTCATCCAGGCTGGAGTGCAATGGTGCGATTTCGGCTCACTGCAACCTCCGCCTCCTGGGGTCAAGCGATTCTCCTGCTTCAGCCTCCCGAGTAGCTGGGATTACAGGCGCCCACCACCATGCCCAGCTAATTTTTGTATTTTTAGTAGAGACGGGGTTTCACCATGTTGGTCAGGCTGGTCTTGAACTCCTGACCTCAGGTGATCCACCTGCCTCGGCCTCCCAAAGTGCTGGGATTACAGGCGTGAGCCACCGTGCCTGGCTGGTTTAAATGTTTTTAATTCCACAGGGTGAGGTGGATTTTCTTAGGATGAAAGAGACTGAGGTGCTGAAGTGGGAGGTGGAGAAATAACACAAATAGTGGAGTGAAAGCTGGGCTACAACCCAGTGGAGGGAAAACAAACATGTTCCACATGGATTTCCACCAGGCATGGTGGCTCATGCTGTAATCCAAGAACTTTGGGAGGCCGGGGAGGGAGGATTGCTTTGAGCCCAGGAGTTCGAGGCCAGCCTGGGCAACATGGCAAAACCCCATCTCTACAGAAAAAAAATGCCAGGAGCGGTGGCTCACACCTGTAATCCCAGCACTTTGGGAGGCCGACGTGGGCAGATCACGAGGTCAGGAGACCAAGACCATCCTGACCAACATGGTGAAACCCTGTCTCTACTAAAAATACAAAAATTAGTTGGGTGTGGTGGTGGGCGCCTGTAATCCCAGCTACTCGGGATGCTGAGCCAGGAGAATGGCTTGAACCCAGGAGGCGGAGGTTACAGTGAGCTAAGATCATGCCACTGCACTCCAGACTGGTGACAGAGGAAGACTCTGTCTCAAAAAAAAAAAAAAAAAAAATTAGCCAGGTGTGGTGGTGTGTACCTATAGTCCCAGCTACTCAGGAGGCTGAAGCAGGAGAATCGCTTGAGCCCAGAGGTGGAGGTTGCGGTGAGCTGAGTTCACACCACAGCACCCCAGCCTGGAGCCTAGGAGTTTGAGGCCTCAGTGAGCCCAGATCGCACCACTGCACTCCAGTCTGAGCAACATCCTGTCAAAAAAAAAAAAAAGAAAAGAAAAAAGAAGTAAACATGTTTCTTTGATTTCAATTGTCTATTAACCACAATGAAAGCCTGAAGCTCAAAGCAGCTATTCTTTTGCCTGTTTTTGCTCCCCTACACCACTAATAATTTCTGTTATAGAAACTTTGACTATTTTAAGGCTCCCGGTTATAGCTGTGCTTCTTTTCACAGAGCCTACATCTGGCACCAGACAGAGGCCTGCAGGGAAAGTGAGCCTTCTCAAGCCCTGCATTCTTTCAAAGAGGGGACAAACTACAGACACTCATTTTGGGTGTCTTCCCAGGCACGGGTGCTGAAATTATCCTCTGTTCTGGTGTGGGGCAAGGGTGGGATTGGAGGAAGCTGCCTGGGCAAGCGAGGTCCTCCTCACGCTGTTGCTTGTCACCTTTCAAGGGCATTTATTTTGCTTCTGGTCTGATAAACAAATAATAAGATTTTCCGTGGAGGACTGGACAATCAGAGGAACTTCAAGAGGAGGGGCATATTCCTGCCTTTGGGACACGAGGAAGGAAAGGAGAAAGGAAAAGATAGACTTAGAAAGCTTCACTGCAGGCCAGATGCGGTGGCTCAAACCTGTAATTCCAGCACTTTGGGAGGCCGAGGCAGGTGGATCACCTGAAGTCAGGAGTTCGAGACCAGTGAAAACCCGTCTCTACTAAAAATACAAAAATTAGCCGGGTGTGGTGGCAGGCATCTGTAATCCCAGCTATTCAGGAGGCTGAGGCATGGAATCACTTGAACCTGGGAGGCGGAGGTTGCACTGAGCCGAGATCTTGCCATTGCACTCCAGCCTGGGCGACAAGAGCAAAACATCGTCTCAAAAAAAAACAAAAAAACAAAAACAAAAACAAAAAAAACCACAGCTTCGCTGTGCATCCTTGAGCTGCTTTTCTATTTCAGTTGAATGCATATTGCAGTTTATCATGATCACATGCAAGCGCTGCCCTACAGCTGGGCGGTGAGTTCAGAGCGATTACCATGGAGACTGAGAGAAGATTGCGTATCATCCCCCCAAACAGCATTCCAGCGTGGGAACGCCAAATCCAGATGTGAAGAACACAAACAAACAGTATGCAAAAGTTCAGAAGTTAGACTGTTTTTGAGATTGTGCCATTGGACTACTGAAAAGAGACATAAAGATGCAATTCCAACATATTGTATGATCCTGTTTATATGAAATATATAGAATAGACAAACCTCTAGAAATAGTCTCACCTGTCCAGGCTCAGCTCAGAGTGCCACTCCAGTAAGCACAGACAAGTTAATAAGTCAAAAGATACAGGTTAATCCCAGGCATAGTAGTTCGTGCCTGTAATCCCAGCACTTTGGGACGCTAAGGGGGCGTGGATCACCTGAGGTCAGGAGTTCGAGACCAGCCTGACCAACATGGCGAAACCCTGTCTCTACTAAAAATACAAAATTAGCCGGGCATGGTGGCACATGCCTGTAATCCCAGCTACTCGGGAGGCTGAGGCAGGAGAATTGCTTGAACCCGGGAGGCGGAGATTGTGGTGAGCCGAGATCATGTCATTGCATTCCAGACTGGACGACAAGAGGAAAACTCCGTATCAAAAAAAAAAAAAAGGAAAGAAAGAAAATAAAAGATACAGGTTAGAGACATATCCTATCACTGTGACATTGATAAAGATCATATTGTAAAATGGTGAGGGGGGTGGTATGAAATATTTCATGGGAAATACACATGGCCAATAGACATGTGGAAAAGATGCTCTCCCTGACTGTATATATCAAAGAAAGGCAAATTAAGACATCAGTAGGATACCATTTCTCACTTGAAAAGAAAAGAATATTTTAAAGGCCAGGTGCAATGGCCCATGCCTGTAGTCCCAGCACTCTGGGAGGCTGAGATGGGCGGATCGCAGGAGCCCAGGAGTTCGAGACCAGCCCAAGCAACATGGCGAAACCCCATCTCTACAAAAAATAAAATTTAGTTGGGCATGCTGATGTGCACCTATAGTCCCAGCTACTCAGGAGGCTGAGGTGGGAGGATCCCTTGAGCCCAGGAGGTTGAGGCTTCAGTGAACTGGGGTCACACCACCGTGCTCCAGCCTGGGTGAAAGAGCGAGACCCTGTCTGAAAAAAGAAAAATAATACTTTTCAGATAATTTGATTGGTTGGAATTCAGTGAAAGAATCTCAAACCCTGCTGCTATAAATTGGTAGATGAAGGAGGAATTCAGTTACCAGAAGAGGAACAGAGGCACTGGGTAGGTAAAAGCAACAAGGGCTCATTACAAAGCTTTTCTTATTTTGGTCTTTTTTTTTTTTTTTTTCCTGGATAAGTCTCTTGAAATAGAATTATTGGGTGAAACTGTATGACATAGCTGAGGCTCTTGTAACAGACTGCCAAGTTTCTTTCACAAATGGTGATTCTAATATTCCTTTGCATTAGCAGTACAGGGGTGTGCCCCATGCCACCACTCAAAAACAAGCTTTGAAAATGAAAGATAGGCCAGGCACCGTGGCTCAGGCCTGTAATCCCAGCACTTTGGGAGGCCGAGGCGGGTCGCTTACCTGAGGTCAGGACTTCGGGACCATCCTGGCCAACATGGTGAAACCCTGTCTCTACTAAAAATACAAAAATTAGCCGGGCGTGGTGGTGGGCGCCTGTAACCCCAGCTACTCGGGAGGCTGAGGCAGGAGAATCGCTTGAATCAGGGAGGCAGAAGCTGCAGTGAGCTGAGATCACGCCACTGCACTCTGGCCTGGGCAACAAGAGCGAGACTCCGTCTCAAAAAAAAAAAAAAAAAAAAAGAAAAAAAGAAAAGAAAATGAAAGACAAAATAACACCTATAAGCCAAGTGAATAAAGGGCAACAGGACTACAGATTTTTTTTTTTTTTTTTTTTTTTTTTGAGACTGAGTCTCGCTCTTGTTGCCCAGGTTGGAGTACGGTGGCGTGATCATTAGTCAACACAGCCTCGACCTCCCAGGCTCAGGCAATCCTCCCACCTCAGCCTCCCAAGTAGCTGGGACTACAGGCGTTGCATTACCATATCTAGCTATTTTTTTGTTTAGAAGGATCTCACTCTGTTGCCCAGGCTGGAATCCAATGGTACGATCTCAACTCACTGCAACCTCTTCCTCCCAGGTTCAAGGGATTCTCCTGCCTCAGCCTCCCGAGTAGCTGGGACTATAGGCATGTGCCACCATGCCTGGCTAGTTTTTGTATTTTTAGTAGAGATGGGGTTTCACCATGTTGGCCAGGCTGATCTCAAACTTCTGACCTCAGGTGATCCGCCCACCTCAGCCTCCCAAAGTGCTGGGATTACAGGTGTGAGCCACTGCACCCAGCCAACCAGCTAATTTTTGTAGAGACAGGGTTTTGCCATGTTGCACAGACTGATCTGGAACTCCTGGCTCAAGTGATCCTCCTGCCATGACCTCCCAAAGTGCTGGTCAGATCTCAGCTTGGACACTACACCAAGCCACGAGGAGGTCTCCGGATTTTTGTGCCTCATTTTGGGCAACTGCTAAATGAGGGGCTTGGACTGGCTGATTTTTAAGTTTCTTGTGGCATTAATATTTTATAACTCTATAATAACAGCTTCTCTACAGCTTTGAAAGGTTTGGAACAGAGGAAGAATACCTGACATTTATTTGTTGCCAGGAGCTAGGACAAACTGATACTCAGCGGAAGGAGTCCTGAGAATAAAGAAGTGCAGAAAATGGCTGGTGTCAGTCCACAGATGACCAGACTCGTTCACTGGGACATGTAAGACATCCTTTAGGGGTTTGCACAAATAGCTGGTGAGTACTTTGTCTGGATTTGTGGGTCTACACTGATGAGTGGGGCCAAGAGCCAGAGACACAGAAGCTATGTTTTTGTTTGTTTGTTTGTTTGTTTTTTGAGATGGAGTTTCACTCTTGTTGCCCAGGCTGGAGTGCAATGGCGTGATCTCGGCTCACCACAACCTCTGCCTCCTAGGTTCAAGTGATTCTCCTGCCTCAGCCTCCCGAGTAGCTGGGATTACAGGCGCCTGCCACCATGCCCGGCTAATTTTGTATTTTTAGTAGAGACGAGGTTTCTCCATTTTTGGTCAGGCTGGTCTGGAACTCCCAACCTCAGGTGATCTGCCTGCCTTGGCCTCCCAAAGTGCTGGGATTACAGGCGTGAGCCACCACGCCCAGCAGAAGTTATGTTAATATGCCTGAAACCTAATATGCCCTGCCCAACCCAACTTTCTCACCTGCCAGTAGTACCCTGACTTTCCAGTCATCCCGGCTCAAACCGTGTCCTTTTTGACTCCTTGCTTCTTTTATTTGATTATAGTTACAGCCAGCAAGTCCTAACAGCTTGTTCATTCAACAGATATTCTGGAGCTCCCATTTGCTCAGCCCACACTGATTTCTTTCCTCTTACAGCATTTGCATTTGGTACACTCGGCTTGGCACCTGAGAATACTTTTCTTTTCTTTTTTTTTTTTTTGTTTGAGACAGTCTCCCTCTTGCCCAGGCTGGAGTGCAGTGGCACGATCTTGGCTTACTGCAACCTCCGCCTCCTGTTCAAGCAATTCTCATGCCTCAGCCTCCCAAGTAGCTGGGATTATAGGCATGCACCACCACACCTGGCTAATTTTTTTTTTTTTTTTTTTTTTTTTTTTTTAGTAGAGACGGGGCTTCACCATGTTGCTCAGGCTGGTCTCGAACTCCTGACCTCAGGTGATCCATCTGCCTTGGCCTCCCAAAGTTCTGGGATTACAGGTATGAGCTGCTGCACCCGGCCAGATTTCACTTTTCATTTGAGGTGGGTGCCCCTAAGTGTACTGACTTCACCTCATCTGTAACTCCTCTTAGGCAAGGGTAACATCTCACACCTCTTTGTATCTTTCCCAGGACCTACTTCACAGTCCTGTGTTCCACTGTAGGCCCTCATTCTCTATATTTGTATGTACCTAGATAGTGTGGGTCTAGGCTCTGGGGACAGAGCAGTGAAAAAAAAAACCTAACAATAATCCCTGCCCTCGTGAATTATACAATCAGAGGAGAAAACAAAACAATAATTTAAAAAGTAAATAAAATATGTAGTACGGGCCGGGCGTGGTGGCTTATGTCTTAATCCCAGCACTTTGGGAGGCTGAGGCAGGTGGATCACCTGAGGTCAGGAGTTCGAAACCAGCGTGGCCAACATGGCAAAACTCTGTCTCTACTAAAAATACAAAAATTAGCTGGATGTGGTGGCACATACCTGTATTCCCAGCTACTTGAGAGGCTGAGGCAGAAGAATCGCTTGAATCCAGGAGGTGGAGGATGCAGGAGCAGCCACTCCCGTGCGGGTGACAGAGCGAGACTCCGTCTCAAACAAAAACAACAAAAACAAAAACAAAACAAAACAAAGACAACTGTTTAGAAAATATAAAGTGAGAAAGGGGGCTATAAAGTGTGTGACTGGAGGGAGGTAGGACACTGAACTATTAGATAGGATGGCAGACTTTTGGGTAGAGTATAAAAGAGGTGAAAGAGACATAAGGGCTCTGGAGGAAGAGCATTCTAGGAAGAGAGAATAGGATATGCAAAGGCCCTGAGGAAGGAATACGTCTCATACCATCCCCAGACAGCAAGAACATGGAGGCTGTTTGTTGCATTTCCCGTCCTGCATTACAATAAAAAAAAAAAAAAAAAAAAAAAAAAAAGGCAGGCCTCTAGCAGCTCGAAATAGCCATAACTCATCATCATCACTCATGATAAGAACTCAGCATTTGGCTGGGTGTGGTGGCTCACGCCTGTAATCCCAGCACTTTGGGAGGCCGAGGCGGGCAGATCACCTGAGGTCGGGAGTTCGAGAACAGCTTGACCAACATGAAGAAACCCCGTCTCTACTAAAAATACAAAATTAGCCGGGCATGGTGGTGCATGCCTGTAATCCCAGCTACTCAGGAGGCTGAGGCAGGAGAATTGCTAGAACCCCCGGGAAGTGGAGGTTGCGGTGAGCCAAGATCGCGCCACTGCACTCCAGCCTGGGCAACAAGAGCGAAACTCCACCTCAAAAAAAAAAACAAAAAACCATAGATTTTTAAGGCCTCGGCACTGCCATACTATGACATGGGCCTACCCTGGGTGGTCATTGTCCCATCTTGCACAGCCCCCAACCTCTTCTCTGGAGGACAACGACAGCACAAGAAAGCGCTCTGAAGATGAGCCGCATCACCACTCTTCCAGCTCACCATCGATTTGGAAGCCTAGAGAGGATCGGCCTTTCTAGGACAATAGACGGTTCCTTCTCCTCACCTAGAGTGGCCCTAAGAGGACGAGGGCGCCTCCCTGGTCCTCCAGGGGAGTGTGCATCCCCAGGTGCACAGGGAAACGAGCTCTCATCCTACCACCCTTGGGCTTTTACAGATGCTTTTCTCCCCTTCACTTTCTTTTTCATTTCTTTTCTTTTCCTTTTTTTTTTTTTTTTTTTTTTTTTAATTTTTGAGACAGAGTTTCGCTTTTGTCACCCAGGCTGGAATGCAATGGCACGATCCCGGCTCACTGCAACCTCTGCTTCCGGGTTCAAGTGATTCTCCTGCCTCAGCCTCCTGAGTAGCTGGGACTACAGGCACCCGCCACCATGCCTGGCTAATTTTTTTGCATTTTTAGTATAGACGGGGTTTCACCGTGTTAGCCGGGATGGTCTTGATCTCCTGACCTCGTGATCCGCCTGCCTCGGCCTCCCAAAGTGCTGGGATTATAGGTGTGAGCCACCGCACTTGGCCTCTTTCTTTCTTTTTTTGGAGTTTTGCTCTTGTTGACCAGGCTGGAGTGCAATGGTGTGATCTTGGCTCACCACAACCTCTGCCTCCCGGGTTCAAGTGATTCTCCTGCCTCAGCCTCCCGAGTAGCTGGGATTACAGGCATGCACCACCACGCCCGGCTAATTTTGTATTTTTAGTAGAGATGGGATTTCTCCATGTTGGTCAGGCTGATCTTTAACTCCTGACCTCAGGTGATCTGTCCCCCTCGGCATCCAAAAGTGCTGGGATTACAGGCGTGAGCCACTGCGCCCAGCCTGGTCTGTGTTTCTTTTACTGCTGTCAGTTTCTTGTTCAGGTTCACAAATTTGTTATATATACATAACAAATATAATATTTAATATATATATACTTTTTTTTTTAGCCTCACTCTGTCTCCGAGGCTGGAGTGCAGTGGCATGATCTCGGGTCACTGCAACCTCTGCCTCCCGAGTTCAAGCAATTCTCGTGCCTCAGCCTTCTGAGTAGCTGGGATTACAGGTGGGTACCACCATGCCCGGCTAATTTTTGTATTTTTAGTAGAGATGGAGTTTTGCCATGTTACCCACGCTGGTCTCAAACTCCTGAGCTCAAGTGATCCACCTGCCTTGGCTTCCCAAAGTGTTGGGGTTACAGGCGTGAGCCGCGGCTCCCAGCCTACGGATATATATACTCTTAACTACAGTCTGTACCAGCCTGGGCAACATGGTGAAACCCGGTCTCTACAAAAAAATACAAAAATTAGTCAGGCAAGGTGGCGCGTGCCTGTAGTGCTCTGAGCATGCAGAGCATTATATTAAGTACTTTACTTCAGATAACTTTGATTTTACATGTCCACCTCTTCCATTAGACTGAGTGTAACTCCAGTGTGCTCAATAAATGCAGAGATCTTAAAATATGTTTGACTGATTTTTTTTTTCTTTTAGAGACGGAGTCTTGCTCGGTCGCCAGGCTGGAGTGCAGTAGTGTGGTCTCAGCTCACTGCACCCTCCATCTCCCGGGTTCAAGCAATTCTCCTGCCCCAGCCTCCCGAGTAGCTGGGACTACAAGCGCGCACCACCACGCCTGGCTAATTTTTGTCTTTTTAGTAGAGACGGGGTTTCACTATATTAGCCAGGATGGTCTCGATCTCTTGACCTCGTGATCTGCCTGCCTCCGCCTCCCAAAGTGCTGGGATTACAGGCGTGAACCACCGCGCCCATCCATTTGATTGATTTTTACTAGGCTCCTCTAGTGGATTCAAATTTCGTTTAAGGTTACTAAGTTTAGTAAGAGTCAGCAATCCTTTTGGCCCTTAGGGAACTCTAAACCTTCTGTGATTTTCAGCATAGAACTTCACCAGTTTAAAAAAAAAAAAAACACAAACCTTCTAGGAAGAAGAAAAAGTTGAGAGGAAGAGAGAAATAAGAGTAGAAGTGGGAAAGAAACACAAGAAGAGAAGAAATGGCCAAAGGGCAAAGCGGCAGGTAGGGAGGGCATATGGTAGGAAGGGCCACAGCCCCTAAAGGCAGGTCAGGGATAGGTGAGAGTACTGAATCCACAGGCTGCCCACACTGAGAACTTCCCTGTTGAAAAGAATCATCACTGCTTTATCCTTTGTTCAGTCCTGCCACTAACCCCATTGGTTTCTCTTGTGATGACCCAATATTCCTTCCCCCAGCACAAATTTCCGAGTTTGTTGAGGACACAGGCTGTCCTGCCCTGTTGGTTCCCACTTTGGAAGCCACAGTGTTTTTGGGAACCACTTTTTTATGTTTTTTTTTGTTTTTTTTTTTGAGACAGAGTCTCATTCTATCGCCAGGCTGGAGTGCAATGGCACGATTTCCGCTCACTGCAACCTCCGACTTCCGGGTTCAAGCGATTCTCCTGCCACAGCCTTCCGAGTAGCTGGGATAACGGGCACGTGCCACCATGCCCAGCTAATTTTTTTTTTTTTAGACAGAGTTTCACTCTTGTTGCCCGGGCTGGAGTGCAATGGCATGATCTCAGCTCACCGCAACCTCTGCCTCCCAGGTTCAAGCGATTCTCCTACCTCAGCCCCACAAGTAGCTGGGATTACAGGCATGTGACACCATGCCCAGCTAATTTTTGTATTTTTAGTAGAGACAGGGTTTCACCATGTTGGCCAGGCTGGTCTTGAACTCCCGACCTCAGGTGATCCACCCACCTCGGTCTCCCAAAGTACTGGGATTACAGGCATGAGCTACCACGCCCAGCCTTTTTTTTTTTTTTTTTTGAGACAGGTTCTTGCTCTGTTTCCCAGGCTGGAGTGCAGTGTCACAATCTTGGCTCACTGCAACCTCTGCCTCCTGGGCTCAACTGATCGTCCCACATCAGCCTCCTAAGTAGCTGGGACTACAGGCAAGCACCACTACGCCCGGCTAATGTTTATATTTTTGTTTGTGTGGAAACAGGGTTTCACCATGTTGCCCAGGCTGGTCTCGAACTCCTGGACTCAAAGGATCCACCTGCCTCAGCCTCTCAAAGTGCTGGGATTACAGGCATGAGCCACCCTGACTGTTAACCCATTTTATGGGTGTATCTTAATTAATTAAACCACTTCCCTGTGGATACATTTAAACTGTTTCACACTATTTGGTGTTATGAACAACGTTGCACCGAATAACTTTGTATTCATGTAAATTTACAGACAAGAGTATCTGCAGAATACGTTTGGGAAGTGGATTTGCTCAGTCAAAGGGTGCATGACTATTACCTTTGGGAAGATTTGCTCTCCCTGTAATTTGTACCAATTTGCAATCCTCTAACAATGAACAAGTGCTCTTACCTCCCACCCCTGCCCCCAACAAAGTTGTATCATTAAAAATAATCTTGCCCGGCGCAGTGGCTCATGCCTGTAATCCCAGCACTTTGGGAGGCTGAGGCGGGCTGATCACGAGGTCAGGAGTTCAAGACCAGCCTGACCAAGATGGTGAAACCCCGTCTCTACTGAAAAAAAAAAAAAAAAAAGCCAGGCTTGGTAGTGCGCCTGTAATACCAGCTACTCAGGAGGCTGAGGCAGGAGAATAGCTTGAACCCAGGAGGCGGAGGTTGCAGTGAGCCGAGATCACACCCCTGCACGCACCACTGCACTCCAGCCTGGGCAACAGAGTGAGACTCTGTCTCAAAAAAAAAAAAAAAAAAAAAATCTTTACCAGTGAGCTAGGTGAAAACGTGACATACGTGGCAAAGAAAATTAACACCATATGTATTAGTTTGCTCAGGCTGCCATGATGAAATACCATGTCATCATTTTTCCTCTGTCTCAAGGACACAGGCACCCATGTCTGGGTGGCTTAAACCAGACATTTATTTTCTCACAGCTGTGGAGGGTAGACGTCCAGTATCAAGGTTCCACCCAATTTGGTTTCTGGGGAAGGCTCTCTGCTTGGCTTGCAGATGGCTGTCTTCTCGCTATGTCCTCACGTGGCCTTTCCTCTGTGCAAGTGTGCAGGTTATGGGGAGGTGGTGGTGGGGCAGTTAGGGGAGTGCTGGGGAGAGGGAGGGAGAAAGGGAGAGGATGAGAGAGCTCTCTGGTGTCTCTTCTTTCTCCTTCTTCCTTTCTCCCTCCTCCCTCCTCCCCCCTCCTCCTCCTCCTCCTTCTCCTCCTTCCTCTACTTCTCCATCTCCATCTCCTTCTCCTTCTTTCTTCTTTCTTCTTCTCCTTCTCCTTCTTCTTCATCTCTTTTTTTGAGACAGGGTCTCACCCTGTCGCCCACGCTGCAGTGCAGTAGCCCAGCGATCATGGTTCACTGTAGCCTCAGTCTCCTTGGCTCCAGTGATCATGGTTCACTGTAGCCTCGGTCTCCTTGGCTCAAGGGATCCTCCCACCTCAGCCTTCTGAGTAGCTGGGACCACAATCATGCACCACCATGCCCAGCTAATTTTTAAATTTTTTGTAGAGATGGCATCTCACTATGTTGCCCAGGCTGGTCTGAAACTCCATGGTTCAAGCCATCCTCCTGTCTTGACCTCTCAAAGTGTTGGGATTACAGGTCTGAGCCACTGCTTCTGGCCAGGGCCTCAAATTTATGACTTCATTGAACCTTAATTACTTCCAATTAATTATTCCAAATATAGCCATGCCATGAGTTGGGTCTTTAACGTATGAATTTTTTGGGAACACATATATTCAGTCCATAACGCTATACTCTAATCAGAGAATTCATATTATGGAAGAATCCTATGAACAGAGTAGATGTGAGAGCACTTTTTTTTTTCTTTTGAGATGGAGTCTTGCTCTGTCACCTAGGCTGGAGTGCAGTGGTGCGATCTCTGCTCACTGCAATCTCTGCCTCCCGGGTTCAAGTGATTCTCCTGCCTCAGCCTTCTGAGTAGCTGGGACTACAGGCATCCACCACCATGCTCACTGATTTTTGTATTTTTAGTAGAGATGGGGTTTTACCATATTGGCCAGGCTGTTCTCAAACTCTTGACCTTGTGATCCACCCACCTTGGCCTCCGAAAGTGCTGGGATTACAGGTGTGAGCCACCGCGCCCAGCAGTGAGAGCACTTTCAAAGGGAAGTTAGAGCTCATTAGATATTGTTGAATTCATAGTAGAAAGACTTATGAATGTAATAAATGTGGGAACATTTTTTTGAGACAGAGTCTTGCTCTGTTGCCTAGGCTGGAGTAAAGTCGCATGATCATGGCTCACTGTAGCCTCGACCCCTCAGGCTCAAGCGATCCTCCCACCTCAGCCTCCCGAGTAGCTGGGACTACAGGTGCGTGCCACCATGCCTGGCTAATTGTTTTAGTTTTTGTAGAGACAGGGTCTCCCTATGTGGTCCAGGCTGGTTTGGAAATTCTGGGCTCAAGTCATCCTCCTGCCTCGGCCTCCCAAAGTACTGGGATTACAGGAAAGAACCACCACCCCTGGCTGGAAAATATTTCAGGTGGTGATCTCAACTTGTTCAACATCAGATAATTCATTTGGGGGGAAAACCCTGTAAGGGCGTCGAGTGTGGAAGAGCCTTCAGCTAGAGCTTAGGTCTTACTGAACATCACACAATTCACATTGGAAAAAAACCCTGTGAAAGTAAGGAGTGTCGGCCAGATGCAGTGGCTCACGCCTGTAATCCCAGCACTTTGGGAAAGCCCAGATGGGCGGATCACCCGAGGTCAGGGGTTTGAGACCAGCCTGGCCAACATGGTGAATCTCCATCTCTACTAAAAATAGAAAAAAATGGCCTGGCGCAGTGGCTCACGCCTGTAATCCCAGCACTTTGGTAGGCCGAGGCAGGCAGATCACGAAGTCAGGAGATCGAGACCATCCTGGCTAACCCGTCTCTATTAAAAATACAAAAAAGTAGCTAGGCGTGGTGGTGGGTGCCTGTAGTCCTAGCTACTCGGGAGGCTGAGGCAGAGAATGGCGTGAACCCGGAGGCGGAGCTTGCAGTGAGCTGAGATCATGCCACTGCACTCCAGCCTGGGCAACAGTGCGAGACTCTGTCTCAAACAAACAAACAAAAAATATATATATATACAAAAAAAAATTAGCGAGGCGTGGTGGTGCGTGCCTGTAATCCCAGCTACTCGGGAGGCTGAGGCAGGAGAGCTCCTTGAGCCCGGGAGGTGGAGGTTGCAGTGAGCCGAGATTGCGCCATTGCACTCCAGCCTGGGCAACAAGAGCGAAACTCTGTCTCAAGGAAAAAAAAAAAAAAAAAAAGTAAGGAGTGCAGGTAAATATTTAGCTATAATTTAGCCTTACTAGAGACTTCATGTTAGAAGAGAAATCCTTTGAATGTAAAGACTGCAGGAAAGCCTTTCCTCAGAATCCTCATCTTATTCTACATCACCGAATTTGCTCAGGAGAGAAATCCCATAATTTATTGAATGTGGTCAGCCTTTAATCAGAGCTCAAATCTTCGTCCACATCAAAGAATTACCTCTGGGGAGAAAACCTGTGAGTGACATAAATATTGGAAGTCCTGCAATTATAGTTCATGCCTTACTCTACCCCAGATAATTCATATCAGAGAGAAACTGTTTGAATGTAACAGATGGGTAAATGCTGTCTGGCCTAGGTCAATCTTTATGACAATATCAAATAATTCGTCTCAGGGAATAATCCTATGACTGCAATGAAAGAGAATATCTTCGGCCAGTCTAAGAAAACACCACAAACATAAGAGTATGCATGTTTATACATATCTCTTGATATCAAAATAATTAGAAAAAATCTAGAGGAGGTGGATTAGTCCACATACTGAATTTCATGGGTTAACTGAAATTTAGACAAATGATTGAAGACTCTCTGTCTAGACAAAGTGGCAGCTGCATCAGGGAGACCTGGGACTCAACTGTCCTTCCTCATCCACTTTCCCGGCCACAGTTGAAATTCTTGTCTGTAGGTTGCTGGCGCCACCTGATGCCCAGCAAGAAAACTGCCTCTTTATTCCCGAGTAGGGAAGAAGACGCCTAAATCTGTAAACATATCTCCTTCTCTTTTTTTTTTTTTGAGACAGAGTCTCGCTCTGTTGCCCAGGCTGGAGTGTAATGGCGCAATCTCGGCTCTATGCAACCTCCACCTCCCGGGTTCAAGCGATTCTCGTGCCTCAGCCTCTTGAGTAGCTGGGACTACAGGTATGCACCACCATGCCCAGCTAATTTTTGTATTTTTAGTAGAGACAAGGTTTCACCATATTGGTCAGGCGGGTCTTGAACTCCTGACCTCGTGATCCACCTGACTTGGCCTCCCTAAGTGCTGGGATTATAGGCGTGAGCCACTGTGCCTGGCCTTCTTTTCTTTTTCAGACAGAGTCTTGCTATGTCGCCCAGGCTGGCGTGCAGTGGCGCGATCTCGACTCACTGCAACCTCTGCCTCCCGGGTTCAAGCAATTCTCATGCCTCAGCCTCCCGAGTACCTGGGACGACAGGCGTGCACCACCACGCCAGGCTAATTTTTTGTATTTTTAGTAGAGACGGGGTTTCGCCATGTTGGCCAGATGGGTCTCCAACTCCTGACCTCAGGTGATCCGCCCACCTGAGCTTCCCGAAGTCCTGGGATTACAGGCCTGAGCCACCACGCCCAGCCTCTTGTTCTCTTTCAACATTCAGTTTACTTAATTGTGCTTCCTCACGCAAAGGATAACCTTCCTCACACAAACACCCTTTCCTGCTCCCCTTTTCTTCCAACTGTTGCCTGCTGCCTCAGGAAAATCTCTCTGTCTCCTTCTTCATGGCAGGAGTAGCTGAGTGGGAACTGCCATTGTATAGTACCTGCGACAGCCTGGCAGGTGTGAAGTGCTTTGTCTGCAGTATCTCATTTAATTCTCACATGAACCCTGTGTGCTAATAGTACTCCCATTTTATAGGAGAGGAACCTAAACTCAGAGCTCAGGGCACTTTCCTAGGTACATGGGAAATAGCAGAAGCCCAAGGGGAGTGTGGGATTGTCTTCAAAGCTCATGCTTTATGAGTGGTTCTTAACCCCGGAGGGCTCATTTTTTTTTTTTTTTTTTTTTTTTTTGAGATGGAGTCTGACTGTGTCGCCCAGGCTGGACTACAGTGGCACCATCTCAGCTCACTGTAACTTCCTCCTCCCAGGTTCAAGCGATTCTCCTGCCTCAGCCTCCCGAGTAGCTGGGACTACAGGTGCCTGCCACCACGCCTGGCTAATTTTTGTATTTTTAGTAGAGACTGGGTTTTGCCATGTTGGCCAGGCTGGTCTCAAAACTCCTGACCTGAAGTGATCCTCTTGCCTTAGCCTCCCAAAGTGCTGGGATTACAGGCATGAGCCATCATGCTTGGCCAAGCCTGGAGAACTCTTTTAAAAGTACCAATGCTGGCTGGGCACGGTGGCTAATGCCTGTAATCCCAGCACTTTGGGAGGTCGAGGTGGGCAGATTGCTTGAGCCCAGGAGTTCCAGACCAGTTTGGGCAGCATAGTGAGACCCCTGTCTCTACAAAAAATTTAAAAAAAAATTAGCTGAGCATGGTGGTGCATGCCTGTGGTCCTAGCTACTCAGGTAGCTGAGATGGGAGGCAGTGAGCTGTGATCATGCCACTGCATTCCAGCCTGGGCAACACTGTGAAACCGTGTCTCAAAAAAAAAAAAAAAAAGAAAGAAAAGAAAAGAAAAAAGAAAAGGTACCAATGCTTGCCCTCCTTCTCCAAATTTTTTTTTTTTTTTGACAGAGTCTCACACTGTCGCCCTGTCGCCAGGCTGGAGTGAGTGGCGCAATCTCGGCTCACTGCAACCTCCGCCTCCTGGGTTCAAGTGTTTCTCCTACCTCAGCCTCCTGAGTAGCTGGGACTACAGTTGCATACCACCACCTTGGCCTCCCAAAGTGCTGGGATTACAGGCGTGAGCCACCGCTCCCAGCCTCCTCCTCCAAATTTTAATTGATCTGGGGTGAGGCATGGTGTTACAGACTGAACTGCATTCCCCCAAAATTTATATGTCGAAGCCTTAATCCCAAATGTGACTGTATTTAGAGATAAGGCCTTTAAGGAGGTAATTGAGATTAAATAAGCCTGACCAACATGGAGAAACCTCATCTCTACTAAAAATACAAAAATTAGCCAGGCGTGGTGGTGCACACCTGTAATCCCAGCTACTCGGGAGGCTGAGGCAGGAGAATCGCTTGAACCCAGGAGGCAGAGGTTGCAGTGAGCCGAGATTGTGACACTGCACTCCAGCCTGGGCAACAAGAGTGAAACTCCATCTCAAAAGAAAAAAAATAAATAAATAATAAAAATAAAATAAAAAGAATTCATGTGTTAGATGATTTTAGGGCAGTTGGCCAGTCACACAAGCTGAAGGCTGGGCTGAAACAAAATAATATGTGAATGTTGGGTGCAATTGTTTTGAGTAGAGACTAAAGGGGCAGAACTGTTCTTTGTTCTCTGAGAAGGCTGAAATGTCCACTGCATTGCATAATTTAACACCTAGTCCTTGTCAAGAGAAGGGAATTCCCTTGATTTTGAAAAGTCCTAATACAATCATTTATATCCGTCTCCGCACAGCCCAGCCCCTCTGGGTTCAGCCCGTCTCCTGTCATTCTTACAACCCACATCCCATATTAAGCAGTGATTATTAGGATGATGGGAGATGTCACCTGCTTACCCAGTTTGGACATGTTTGTCCATCTCTGCTGGTAATGCTGCTTTTACCCTTGTGGGATCTGGTGACTTTCAACAATTGCCCATTAGTGCTGGAAATGGGCCCAGATTCTTCCAACATTTTGGCACCAAAGACACTGCCAAGAACAATCTCAACTTCCTTGGGTCCAGCACTGTTAGGTCAAATTACATGCTCAATCACAAGTGGAGAAGAGTCTAGTTTTGAGCATCGGTTGAGTACAACTTTACAAAATTGCTGATTCAGGGGTGGCCCTATGGAAAAATAAGGAAATGCCAAATAGAGTTTAAAAGGTATGTCTAATGAGACAAGAAAGATGAGGAGAAGCAGAAACCCAGATGGATTTGAAATATCTGCAGGCTTGTCATGGTGACTCCTGCCTGTAATCTTGGAATTTTGGGAGGCAGAGGCAGGAGGATTGCTTGAGCCCAGGAGTTTGAGATCAGTTTGGGCAACACAGGGAGACTCCACCTCTACAAAAAATGCAAAAAATTAGCGGAGCATTGTGGCACACACCTATAGCTCCAGCTACTCAGGAGGCTGAAGCGGGAGGATCACTTGAGCCTGGGAGTTGGAGGCTGCAGTGAGCCCACATCACAGCACTGTACTGCAGCCTGGGCAACAGTGTGAGATTCCGTTTCAAAAATAAAAATAAAAGAAATATCTGCAAACATCTGCTCCTTACACTGGTTGCACACATACTTCACCTCAATTCCATTTGAAAGTCTCCCCTATTTTAAGTTTTCTAATATCCACAGTCAAGATCAACCAGTCTCATAAGTCAGTCATCTAGTTTCTGCATTTTGGATCTCTGACCTTCAGATATTATATAGAAATTGTGGACTCTAGTGTCAGCCATTGTTTCTCATCTAATCCTATAAAAAAGTTGAATTCAAATAACTATTGAGGCTGGGCGTGGTGGCTCACGTCTGTAATCCCAGTGCTTTGGGAGGCCGAGGCAGGTGGATTGACTGAGCTCAGGAGTTCGAGACCAGCCTGGGCAACACGGTGAAACCCCGTCTCTACTAAAATACAAAAAATTAGCTGGGCGTGGCGGCATGAGCCTGTAGTCCTAGTTACTCAGGAGACTGAGGCAGGAGAATTGCTTGAACCCGGGAGGCGGAGGTTGCAGTGAGCTAAGATTGCGCCGCTGTACTCCAGTCTGGAAAAGAGCAAGACTCCATCTCTAAAAAAAAAAAAAAAGAAAAAAAGAAAGAAAAAAAAATTGTGGACTCTAGTGTCAGTCAGTGTTTTTCATCCAATCCTACACAGAAGTTGAATTCAAATAACTATTGAGGCCGGGGGTGGGGGCTGGCTCACGCCTGTAATCCCAGAACTTTGGGAGGTTGAGGTGGGCAAATAACTTAAGGTCAGGAGTTAAAGGCCAGCCTGGCCAACATGGTGAAATCTTGTCTCTACTAAAAATACAAAAATTAGCTGGGCATGGTGGTGCACGCCTGTAATCTCAGTTACTTGGGTGGCTGAGGCAGGAGAATTACTTGAACCCGGGAGGTGGAGGCTGCAGTGAGCCAAGATCACACCACTGTACTCTAGCCTGGGCAACAGAGTGAGACTCTGTCTCAAAGAAAAGCCGGGTGTGGTGGCTCACACCTGTAATCCCAGCACTTTGGGAGGCTGAGGCAGGTGGATCACCTGAGGTCAGAAGTTTGAGACCAGCCTGGCCAACATGGTGAAACCCTGTCTCTACTAAAAATACAAAAATTAGTTAGGTGTGGTGGTGGGCGCCTGTAATCCCAGCTATTTGGGAGGCTGAGGCAGGAAAATCGCTTGAACCCGGGAGGCAGAGGTTGCAGTGAGCTGAGATCATGCCACTGCATTCCAGCCTGGGCGACAGAGCGAGACTTGGTCTAAAAACAGAATAAAACAAAACAAAAAACCAACCAAGAAAACCTATTGATCTAATGTGATGTGAGGGGCTCTGAAAAGTCAGCTGGCTACTTTGCTCTTTTTACCACTTTTACCCTGTGCCTAAAATTCCTGCCATTAGACTTCTGTGTTAAGGTACTGTTTCTTGAAGGTCACTGTTAAAATTCGAGGTAATCTCAGAAGACTTTCCATATAAGGATTTTTTTTTTTTTCGAGATGGAGTTTAGCTCTTGTTGCCCAGGCTGGAGTGCAATGGTGTGATCTTGGCTCACTGCAACCTCTGCCTCCCAGATTCAAGTGATTCTCCTGCCTTAGCCTCCCAAGTAGCTGGGATTACAGGCCTGTGCCACCACACCCGGCTATTTTTTGTATTTTTTGCAAAGACGGGATTTAGCAGAGATGGGATTTCATTACGTTGGCCAGGCTGGTGCTGAACTCCTGACCTCAAGTGATCCACCCGCCTTGGCCTCCCAAAATGTTGGGTGGCATGAGCCACTGCCCCGGCCCCATGTAAGCATTTGTCAGTCAACCTGTACAGACCATCTCTGGTCAGTTCTGTGCCACAGGTGCAATGCCTAAGGGTGGAGAACTGAGTGAGGAGATGGAAAATACTCTTATAATGGCTGGGCATGGTGGCTTACGCCTGTAATTTCAGCACTTTGGGAAGCTGAGGTGGGTGGATCACTTAAGGTCAGGAGTTTGAGACCAGCCTGGTTAACATAGTGAAACCCCGTCTCTACTAAAAATACAAAAATTAGCTGGACGTGGTGGCGGGTGCCTGTAATCCCAGCTACTCGAGAGGCTGAGGCAGAATTGTTGAACCCAGGAGGTAGAGGTTACAGTGAGCCGAAATCACGCCACTGCAGTCCAGCTTAGGCAACAGAGCAAGACTCTGTCTCAAAAAAATTAAAAAAAAAAGGAAAAACAAATATTCTCACAAGACAACGCAAGCTACAACAAGTCAACTTAACTCAAATGCTAAGAGTCAGGAAGGGCAGTGGAGGAGTGGTTGGAGTGAGAAGAGAGGACTCAAGATGGCTTTGTGCGTGTGCTTGTTTCGAATGAGGTCTTAAAGTAACTCAAGTATTGAAGCCAGCTAAGTAACCCAAACGCCATCATTGTACAGGGTTTTATTTTGGTAGAAGGGGGATGCTTTATGCACACATAAGGCAAATGTGGATTTGCTGAATGTTAGATTTGAAGTTTCCTGTTTTGACCATTAGCTGACTATGAGAAAGATTTCATCATAAAGAAGGGATCTTGTTGGAAGACTGAGTAGTTTATGAAAAATTTTTTTGGCTGGGTGTGGTGGCTCACAGTAATCCTGTTACTTTGGAGGGCTGAGACAGGAAGATGACTTGAGGCCAGGAGTTTGAGACCAGCCTGGGCATCATGGTGAGGCCTGTCTTTTTTTAAAAAAATGATAAATTAAATTAATTTTAAAAAATTTAATTGGACACATCTTGACCATTAGCTGAATAATGGTCAAAACAGTAGCAAGGCTGGGTGCGGTGGCTCACACCTGTAATCCCAGCACTATGGGAGGCTGAGGCAGGTGGATCACATGAGGTCAAGAGTTCAAGACCAGCCTGGCCAACATGGCAAACCTCATCTCTCCTAAAAAAAATAAATAAATAATTAGCCGGGCATGGTGGCAGGCACCTGTGATCCTAGGTACTTGAAAGGCTGAGGCAGGAGAATCCCTTGAACCTGGGAGGCAGAGGTTACAGTGAGCTGAGATCATGCCATTGCACTCTAGCCTGGGCAACAAGAGTGAAACTCCGCCTCAAAACAAACAAACAAACAAACAAAAACCTCCAAAACAAAAACAGTAGCAAAACAGGCCTGGGAATCTTCAGGGTCCCATAAAGGAGCAGAGGCAGATTGTGTGTTAAGTGGGACTTTAGGAAGGCTATCAGGTTGTAGTGAGAAGAGCCTGATGAGAAATCGGCAGATATAGGTGCAAATCCTGACCTCTTCCCTTCTTCTTCTTTTTTTTTTTTTTTTGAGACGGAGTTTTGCTCTTGTTGCCCCGCATGGAGTGCAATGGCGCAATCTCAGCTCACTGCAACCTCTGCCTCCTGGGTTAAAGCGATTCTCTTGCCCCAGCCTTCCAAGTAGCTGGGATTACAAGCATGCGCCACCACACCCAGCTAATTTTGTATTTTCAGTAGAGACGGGGTTTCTCCATGTTGGTCAGGCTGGTCTTGAACTCCTGACCTCAGGTGATCCACCTGCCTTGGCCTCCCAAAGTGCTGGGATTACAGGTGTGAACCACCACGCCCAGCCTCGATCTGAGTAAACTTTGACATGTCACTAAACTTCTGGCCTCCCTTGCCTGCAAATACCTTATCTACAGTTGCCATAGACAGTCTAAGCTTCAAGGGACTCTGACCATAGTTAACACATATGAGAGGATTTTGTAAACTATGTTGGGTACATATAAAGTTTGGATTTTTTTTGTTATTGTTGTTTTAAACCAAACTCAAAGCCTATATTTTGCTCACCTGTGTGAGATCTATACCTCAAGATTTCTTATATGGCATTAAAATAGTGAAATCAAAAACCATGGTTTGAATGACTCACTACTGCAGATGGTAGAGTGAGTTTGAATGAGGGAGGAAGGCCATGATCCCGAGATTTGTCCGGAGAGAGAATCTGTGGCTGTTGGCAACAGAATTAAGCCCCAGAAACAAAGGGACCCTTTATTTGAGAGAGGTCCTGAGGTATCATCACAGTTATGGTTTGTAGTCGCAGTGGGAACAAGGATAGCATTGTGGGCAGGTGTGTGGCCTAATGGAAAACAACAGTATGAAGAGTGAGTAACTGGGGTATGGAGGATGGCGTCAGCCCAAGGACAAAGGTGCATCACTGAGAAGGAATCTTGTTGGAGGACTGAGTAGTTCCCTGAAGATGTTTTTATTTTTATTTTTATTTTTTTTTTGAGACAGAGTCTCATTTTGTCACCCAGGCTGGAGTATAGTGGTGCGATCTTGGCTCACTGCAACCTCCACCTCCCGGGTTCAAGCGATTCTCATACCTCAGCCTCCCAAGTAGCTAGGATTATAGGCGTCCGCCATCACATCTGGCTAACTTTTGTATTTTTATAGAGACGGGGGTTTCACCATGTTGGCCAGGCTGGTCTCGAACTCCTGACCTCAGGTGATCTGCCTGCCTTGGCCTCCCAAAGTATCGGGATTACAGGCATGAGCCACCGGCCTGAAGATGTTTTTGATGAGCCACATCTTGAGCTGGGAAAATAACACCATGAAAGCAGAGTTAGAGCCAATCGATCTAACAATTGTGGTCAATTGATTGGTAACAAAGGTGCCAAGAACACACAGTGAGAAAAAAACAGTCTCTTTATTTTTATTTTTGACAGTCTCTTTAATAAATGGTGTTAGGAAAACTGGCTATCCACATGCCGAAGAATGAAATTAGAGCCTTATCTCGCACCATACCCAAAAATCAACTCAAAGTGGAATAAAGACTCAAATGTAAGACCTGAAACTATAAAGCTACTCAGGAGGCTGAGGCAGGAGAATTGCTTGAACCTGGGAGGCGGAGGTTGCAGTGAGCCGAGATGGCACCAATGCACTCCAGCCTGGGCGACAAGAGCGTGACTCTGTCTCAAAAAGAAAAAAAAAAGTAAAGTAAAGTAAATGTGAAGAAATAGGAGTTGTTCCGGCAGTCTTATGCTTTTCTGGTCACACTGGGAGCTTATGTGTCCCTATGATGTGGGAGACCCTGGGACTTGATTTTCTTCCTATTTTCTCAGAAAAGAGCCTCAGAAATATTCACATAGGACTGCCTTGACCCTGCGATGGCAAATAACGTCACTCATGTGCAAATTCAGACAAATAGTAGCAGCTGCCTGGAATACTGTGCTGTGTGGGGCTCTAAGGCACATTTGGGGATCTGAGAAGTGGACAAGAACATTATTACACGTGGCTCAGTGATGTCTTGCCCGTGGTGGCAATCCTGCCGATTATTTTGCTGACCTTGTTAAGACTCCAGATTCCTGGTGATGAGCCTCATATGCTGGGATGCAGCTTTCTTCTCCTTTGTCCTCTGATTACTTTTTCCCTATACCCTCTGCTGTTGTCTAGTTTCAGTGCCACACCACGCCCCCAACCTCAACTTTCCGCTCACCTTCTCAAAGCCCAGTACTGACCCCTCCTCTAAGCCAGCCTTTTCTTCTCTGTCTTCCCTCTCATGGTGGTTTTTGGGAGGCTGAGGTTTCTGGGTGGTGCTGCATTTCTCCCACTGTGAAACGGACGGTGGTTTCACCTAAGACAGACATGGACCTTACAGGACCCCAACGCACCTCTTAGGCTTAAAGAACTTGCCCAAGAAGGATCTGTCATCCAAGCACAGTAAAAACGTGATCTTGCTGGGTCAGGTTCAGAATTGGTTGCTCTGGCCTCCTTGATACAGATGTTCCTCAACTTATAATGGGGTTACATCCTGATCAACCTATCGTAAGGTGAACATTTTGTAAGTTGAAAATGCATTCAGGCCGGGTGCAGTGGCTCATGTCTATAATCCTAGCACTTTGGGGGGCCCAGGCAGGTGGATCACCTGAGGTCAGGAGTTCGAGACCACCCTGGCCAACACGGCAAAACCTCGTCTCTACTAAAAATACAAATATTACAGGTGGCGAGTGCCTGTAACCCCAGCTACTTGGGAGGCTGAGGCAGGAGAATGGCTTGAATCCGGGAGGCGGAGGTTGCAGTGAGCTTAGATCATGCTACTGCACTCCAGCCTGGGTGACACAGCAGGACTCCATCTCAAAAAAAAAAAAAAAAAGAAAAGAAAAGAAAAAAAGAAACAGGGTTTCATCATGTTGGCCAGGCTGGTCTCAAACTCCTGACCTCAGGTGATCTGCCCACCTCGGCCTCCCAAAGTGCTGGGATTATGGGCGTGAGCCCCCGCCCCCGGCCTATACTTCAAATTCTGAATTTTGATCTCTTTCCAGGCGTGGTGGCATGTGCCTGTAATTCCAGTTACTCAGGAGGCTGAGGCAGGAGAAGTGCTTGAACCCGGGAGGTGGAGGTTGCAATGAGCTGAGATTGTGCCACTGCACTCCAGCCTGGGCAACAGAACAAAACTGTCTCAAAAAAAAAAAAAAAAAAAAAAAAAAGAAGTATATTTTCTACTGAATGTGTATTGTTCCCGCACTGTTGTAAAGTCAAAAACTTGCAAGTTGAAGCATTGTTAAGTTGGGGACCATCTGTATAATTGTTAACTCCAGAGTAGGAAGTTGCTCCTTTGCTCTACTTCCTTACATCTTCACAGCTGGAGGTGTAAGGGGGAACACCAAGGATGTAACTGAACCTTGATTCAGCTTCAGCCAGTCACGTTACTGTGCAGAGGTGAGATATGAATATTTTTGTCCATCAAGTTTCCACTGAACAGAGGCCCAGCACCACCAGTGCCTCCTGCAGAACTCTCAAAGACATGTGACATGGTCCTGGACCTCAAGGACAGCTGTGTGTCTGTAGGAAATAGTTAAATCACATGAGGCAAGATTCGTCTGTGTCACATTGAGTGAGACTTTGGGTATGTAGGATGTTCTGTGAGGTTGGCCTAGTTAAAAGAAGAAAGGCAGGAGTAAGGAAGCAGCTGGCAGTGATAAGAAGCGGAGCCCGGGCGCAGTGGCTCATGCCTGTAATCCCAACACTTTGGGAGGCCGAGGTAGGTGGATCACTTGAGGTGAAGAGTTCGAGACCAGCTTGTCCAACACGGCGAAACCCTGTCTCTACTGAAAATACAAAAATTAGCCAGGAGTGGTGGTGCATGTCTGTAATCCCAACTACTTGGGAGGCTGAAGCAGGAGAATCGCTTGAACCCAGCAGGCGGAGGTTGCAGTGAGCCAAGATTGCACCATTGCACTCCAGCCTGGGCGACAAGAGTGAAGCTCTGTCTCAAAAATAAAATAAAATAAAATAATAAAATAATAAAATAAAAATGTAAGAAAGGAGTGCAGCCAGTGCCTGTAGCCCTCCTTCTCACATATTCTACAGATAGAAGAGAAGGGACAAGGGTGAAATAGTGCAGTGTGTCTTTGGTTTCTCCATGTGTTTGTCTCTGTGTGAATTCAGGAGGGTGGTCAGTGTTCCTATCTACCTTTTTTTTTTTTTTTAAGAGGAACAGAACTGCTCATACTCACCTATAAAGCCAATTCTGTGGAAGTCCTGAACCTGTTAGTAGACCGTGAAACATCAGCCCCTGCCCAGTCATACACATCCTCATACAGGCTGAAAGTGGGAACAGTATTTACAAACCATATGTCCTTGTCTCCTTCACTCAGTAGATTCCTATTACTCCAGGTGGCACCTAGGTTGGCTAGTGTAATAAAGCAGACGGTGGGCCAGGCGTGGTAGCTCACGGCTGTAATCCCAGCACTTTGGGAGGCCGAGGTGGGCGGATCACCTGAGCTCAGGAGTTCCAGACAAGCCTGACTAACATGGAGAAACCCTGTCTCTACTAAAAATACAAAAATTAGCCGGGCGTGGTGGCACGTGGCTGTATTCCCAGCTACTCAGGAGGCTGAGGCAGGAGAATCGCTTGAACCTCGGAGGTGGAGGTTGCGGTGAGCCAAGATCACGCCATTGCACTCCAGCCTGAGCGACAAGAGCAAGACTCCATCTCAAAAAACAAAACAAAATAAAATAAAATAAAGCAAACGGTGAGCCGGGGAGTGGCTGAGAGGAGACAACTTATCCTTTTCCTTCCTAACTCACACACAAGCGCAGGTCAGATTAAGCACTGCCAAAGCTGGGGCCAATGATTCTCAAACTTTATTGTGCATCAGAGCCATGAAGTGTTGTTAAAACACACATTTCTGGGCCGGGCTTGGTGGCTCACACCTGTAATCCTGGCACTTTGGGAGGCCGAGGCAGGTGGATCACCTGAGGACAGGAGATCAAGACCAGCCTGGCCAATACGGTGAAACCCCATCTCTACTAAAAGTACAAAAATTAGCCAGGTGTGGTGGTGCATACTTATAATCCCAGCTACTCGGGAGGCTGAGGCAGGAGAATCACTTGAACCCAGGAGGCGGAGGTTGTGGTGAGCTGAGATGGCACCACTGCACCCCAGCCTGGGCGACAGAGTGGACTCCATCTCAAAAAACAACAGCCACCAAACCAAACAAAACAAAACAAAAAAGCCACAACACATTTCTGAGCTCCAACTCCAGAGTTTCTGATTTAGAAGATCTGTGGGTGGGGCCTAAGAATTTTCATTTCTAACAAGTCCCCAGGTGATGCTAATGCTGCTGGTTTAGAGACCACACTTTGAGAACCATTGGCCTATGCTATTGGTTTTCAACCATGGCTGTAGGTCAGAATTACCTGGAAAGTTAAAAGCAAAACAATCCACGTCCAGATCTTTTTTCAGATCAATTTCAACAGAGTCTATGTGGGAGGCACCAGACAGCCATGATTTTAGACCCCAGGTGATTCCAATGTGCAGTCAAGTGTAGGGGTGGGTTGCCCCTCCACACCTGTGGGTGTTTCTCGTAAGGTGGAACGAGAGACTTAGGAAAGAAAAAGACACAGAGACAAAGTATAGAGAAAGAAATAAGGGGACCCAGGGAACCAGCGTTCAGCATATGGAGGATCCCGCCAGCCTCTGAGTTCCCTTAGTATTTATTGATCATTTGTGGGTGTTTCTCGAAGAGGGGGATGTGTCAGGGTCACAAGACAATTGTGGGGAGAGGGTCAGCAGACAAACACGTGAACAAAGGTCTTTGCATCATAGACAATGTAAAGGATTAAGTGCTGTGCTTTTAGATATGCATACACATAAACATCTCAATGCTTTACAAAGCAGTATTGCTGCCCGCAGGTCCCACTCCAGCCCTAAGGCAGTTTTTCCCTATCTCAGTAGATGGAGCATACAATCGGGTTTTATACCGAGACATTCCATTGCCCAGGGACAGGCAGGAGACAGATGCCTTCCTCTTGTCTCAACTGCAAGAGGCATTCCTTCCTCTTATACTAATCCTCCTCAGCACAGACCCTTTACGGGTGTCGGGCTGGGGGATGGTCAGGTCTTTCCCTTCCCACGAGGCCATATTTCAGACTACCACATGGGGAGAAACCTTGGACAATACCTGGCTTTCCTAGGCAGAGGTCCCTGCGGCCTTCCGCAGTTTTTGTGTCCCTGGGTACTTGAGATTAGGGAGTGGTGATGACTCTTAAGGAGCATGCTGCCTTCAGGCATCTGTTTAACAAAGCACATCTTGCACCGCCCTTAATCCATTCAACTCTGAGTTGACACAGCACATGTTTCAGAGAGCACGGGGTTGGGGGTAAGGTTATAGATTAACAGAATCTCAAGGCAGAAGAATTTTTCTTAGTACAGAACAAAATGGAGTCTCCTATGTCTACTTCTTTCTACACAGACACAGTAACAATCTGATCTCTCTTGCTTTTCCCCACAGTCAAGGTTGAGAATCACGATTTAGGCTCTTGAGGCAGACACCCATTAATGCAGGTGTACTAGATAAAGCTCAGTAAAACCAAATATCTTCCACCCTTGGTTCTGCGGCAGGATATTTTTGTAGTCTGGGCGTCTTTCCTTGGGATAAATGTAGCTTGCAATGATTTTGATGGAAATGGACTTTTCTTGGATCACGGCTTGGAGAAAGTTTTGAGCAGAGTGAGGAAGGTTGCAATGGCAACCGTGGAAAATGGTAGACAAGCTGAGTAGGGAAACAGAAAGTGATTTCTGGGCCTGTGGAAAGCAGAGACCATAAGATTACCTTAGGACTCTTAAACAAAATATATTTTTCCCACTCACCATTAGCCGCATGGGCAAGGAAAACAGATTTTTTTTTTTTTGACATAGAATCTCGCTCTGTGGCCCAGGCTGGAGTGCAGTGGCGTGATCTTGGCTCACGGCAACCTCTGCCTCCCAGGTTCAAGCGATTCTCCTGCCTCAGCCTCCCGAGTAGCTGGGATTACGGGTGCGAGCCACCACATCTGACTAATTTTTGTAGTTTTTTTTTTTTTTTTTTGAGATGGAGTCTTACTCTGTCGCCCAGGCGAGAGTGCAGTGGCGTGATCTCAGCTCACTGTAACCTCCGCCTCCCAGGTTCAGGTGATTCTTCTGCCTCAGCCTCTCGAGTAGCTGGGACTACAGGCATGCACCACCATGCCTGGCTAATTTTTGTATTTTTAGTAGAGACAGGGTTTCACCATATTGGCCAGGCTGGTCTCGAACTCCTGACCTTGTGATCCTCCCGCCTTCGCCTCCCAAAGTGCTGGGATTACAGGTGTGAGCCACCGCACCTGGCCCTAATTTTTGTACTTTTAATAGAGATGGGTTTCACCATTTTGGCCAGGCTGGTTTCGAACTCCTGACCTTGTGATCTGTCTGCCTCAGCCTCCCAAAGTACTGGGATCACATGCATGAGCCACCACGCCCGGCCGGAAAATAGATATTCTGATTGAATCAGAGTTAACAAACTTCCCATGCAGTTGCAGACAGTAGGGCAAGGGAGTTAAGGATTTTAGTACCAGAGTGGCTAAAGTGATGGACCCTAGAGTCTAGGGCCTAATGGCAATGATGAATTCAAGAGAAAGTTTTCTTTCTGCTAGATTGTGTGTGGCATACAAACACAATATTCCCTTCTAAGGGTGGTCACTCCTTTCCCTATTTCATAGGATTATGGTGAGGCAAACACAGAAGCCCGCCGTCATCCTTGCGGGAAGGCAGGTGACCAGGCTTGGTAAATCACACGGTCCTTTCCCCCTTGATTGGTCCATGGTTGAGCACCAGACCCAAACAGGGCTAATCATAGTCCTTTGTAACTGATATTTGGGAAGGATAGTGTACTCTGAGGCAACATTATATAGAATGAAAGTCTTCAATGTGGTGATCTTGGAACTGACACCTAAAAACAAACTGGCTGGCTGGACGCGGTAGCTCACGCCTGTAATCCCAGCACTTTGGGAGGCCAAGGTGGGCCTAAGGTCTGACCTAAGGTCAGAAGTTCGAGACCAGCCTGACCAACATGGTGAAACCCCGTCTCTACTAAAAATACAAAAATTAGCCGGGCGTGGTGGCTGGCACTTGTAATCCCAGCTACTCTGGAGGCTGAGGCTGGAGAATCGCTTGAACCCGGGAGGTGGAGGTTGCAGTGAGCAGAGATCGTGCCATTGCACTCCAGCCTTGGCGACAAGAGCGAAACTCCGCCTCAAAAAACAAACAAAAACAAGCTGGAGGCCGGGCGCGGTGGCTCATGTCTGTAATCCCAGCACTTTGGGAGGCCGAGGCGGCCGGATCACCTGAGGTCGGGAGTTCGAGACCAGCCTGACCAAAATGGAGAAAACCCGTCTCTACCTAAAATACAAAATTAGCCGGGCGTGGTGGCACATGCTTGTAATCCCAGTTACTCGGGGAGGCTGAAGTAGGAGAATCGCTTGAATCCGGGAGGCGGAGGTTGCGGTGAGCGGAGATGGCGCCATCGCACTCCAGCCTGGACAACAAGAGCGAAACTCCATCTCAAAAAACAAACAAACAAGAAAACAAGCTGGCTGTGCAAAATTACAGAGGAAGTAACAAGGAAAGGTTCTGAGGTGAGAATGGGCCAAGCTTGCTCAGGGAACCCAGGAAGGCTAGCTGCAGAATGCTGTTTCCGTGGCCTCGGCAGCTTAACCTAGGCCTTTACTCTTAACCTTGGTAATTCCCACGCAATCTTGAGATTTCAGGCCAAACGTCACTCCTGCAAGCCCTTCCGGAACTCAAAGCATGTCTCCCTTCGCTCCCGCCGAGGAGAGACCTGTTCCCAGGATCTGCAGCCCTGTGCTTATCAGACCCACGGAGTCTGTGGAAAGGAAGGATGGGATAAGAACGATGCGGGTTGGGAGAGTTAAAAGGGTCGCGCAAACGGTCCCCGCGGGAATGCGAAGCGGATTCTCGAGTTCTTGAGCCTAGAGCAATGCTTGGGGAGCGACACGAGGGCGCAGAGCGGCAGATCGCGGAGCGGAAGTTCATCCCCGGAGCCGTTCTAGGAAACCCGGAGGACTCAGGTCGTCAATGATTCCGGGGCTGAAGTGGGCATCGACGGGTGCACTTTGCTGTTCCAGGGAGCCGGCTCGGCAGGCGGCGGCGACGTGGAACTTGGGCTAGGGCTAGAACCGGCGAAAAGCAAGCCGGAAAAGGCAAGGGGGCGTCGGTGCGCTGACCACCTGTTCCTCCAGCGGAGTGCGACGCGCGCCGATTGGCTGGAGTGCCGCCCGGGTACCGGAAGTGGCCGATGCCCGTCGCCAGTGACACCGGGACAACAGCTGCGGGCTCTGTGCGAGCGGCCCAGCAGCGCGGAGCCTCAGCGGAGTGAGCGAGCGCGGGGCAGTAGCGGCCTGCGGTGAGACCTCATTCCGTCGCGGCTGTGGGGGTAGGCGGGGGCTGGGCTCCCAGCTCCCTAGAGAGCCGAGCGGAAACCCTACGTTTAGGCCCGTTCTGACCGGGGTTCGCTGTGTGACCTTGAAGTTTATGCCTCCCTCCATTCCCCCCGCCCCCAGGCCTTCATTTCCACCTGCACACAGAGAGGGTGGGGCCTGGACACCGCCAGGGACAGTCCCAGCTCTGGTTTGGTGCCTGTCAGCCGTGGGGGTGGGAGAAGCAGGGACACTCCCTTCTGTACCGAGGTGGGGACCCGTGGGAGCTGTGGTTTTCTCAGACATTCCACCCCCAAGTAAACCGCTAGGACGAAATGGCGGGCAGTGTCACAAACTTAACGCCCTAGTGGCAGATTGTGCCCTGTGCTGCCAGACAAGATATTGGCTTATGAGGGGTGGTCGTGAAAAGGAGACAGGTTTGAGCTGCAAAGATAGAGCCCTATTGTGGGTCAGAGGGAGAAGAGAGGAAAGGAGGTTAACAGTGCCATAAATTAAATATCACCCAGATTGGGAAAAGGAACTTATTTTTACAAACAGTTATCGACACCAGCTATGTGTCAGACACTATCCTAGGCTCTTTAGATATAATGATGAATGAAATATCCAGTTAGCCATCAAGAGTATTACAGAGGCTGGGTGCAGTGGCTCATGCCTGTAATCCCAGCATTTTGGGAGGCCTAGGCGGGAGGATCACTTGAGCACAGGAGTTCAAGACCAGCCTGGGCAACATAGTGAGACACCATCTGTACAAAAAACAAAGAAATTAGTTGGGTAGTTGGGTGTGGTGGCGCATGCTTGTAGTCCCAGCTACTTGGGAGGCTGAGGTGGGAGGATTTTCTTGAGCCTGGGAAGTTGAAGCTGCAGTGAGTCTGGGCAATAGAGCCAAGACCCTGTCTCAGAAAAAAGGGAGGTATTGCAGATTCATTATATATATAAGACAGTTACACAAATTCACTTAACATTTACCAGGTATCTGAAATATGCTAGGTACTCAGAATACCAGGATGAATGGAACAGCATCCTTGCTTATGGTCTAGAGAAGAAAATAGGTATGAAAAATTAATAATGCAGTGGGGTAGCTGCTACAAGGTGAAGGAGTAGCTGTCTGCCTTAGAGCCTGGGGGTCAGGGAAGAAAATGGAGGGGGTCAGCTGGGCGTGATGGCTCATGCCTGTAATCCCAGCACTTTGGGAGGCAAAGGTGGGCGGATCACCTGAGGTCAGGAGCTCGAGACCAGCCTGGCCAACATGGTGAAACCCTGTCTCTACTAGAAATACAAAATTAGCCAGGCGTGGTGGCAGATGCCTGTAATACCAGCTGCTTGGGAGGCTGAGGTGGGAGAATCGCCTGAGCCTGGGAGGCGGAGGTTGCGGTGAGCCAAGATTGCGCCATTGCACTCCAGCCTGGGAGACAGAGCGAGGCTCCATCTCCAAAGAAAAAAAAAAAAATAGGTATCGTGGTTTCAGGACTGATTAATCCAGTGGCCCTGGCAGCATCTCCCTTGTTTTTCTGAGCTTTAGCTGCCCTCATCCACAGGCTGGTAGTGAGATGGCAGCAGCAGGTACAGGCAATAATATATGGAAGTATTTTCCTATGGTTCTCTCAGGATGGCAGGAAACTATTCCCAGAAGCTCCCAGCAAACGTCCTCAAAATATTGACCCAGATGAAGGTGGATGTCCATTTCCAAACCAGGAATTCCCGAATCCTTGCTGTTTCTGAACCAGTGCCTTGCAAGAATTAGGGCATTTATTTGACTGGGTTAACTCAGTTGGAGTGTCCTGCTGGAGCTCTTGGATGAGGTTAGATCTCTGGCAAGGAAAGCAAAGCCACTGCAAATATTTTTGCTCACATACCCCGTAAAATAATTTTGGAAGGTTTGTGTCTCTTTATACATTTGCAAGTTGACATCCAAAACATTTCCATTTCTCATCATAAATTTTAATGAGTTTCAAAGGATATTATTTTTGAGGTATTAAAATTTCGACATTTCAAAATAAAACCTCATCCCAGTTTCCCAGATACCTTCCCTTGGTTACCTTCCCTTGGAGCACAAAGAAGGTGCTCATCACATCCTTCACCCTCTCTGTAACCTCCATCTCTTAGCACCCCACTCCTCCCAGCCCCCCTTCATTTCCATCCGTATCTCACTTAGTCATCTCAGCTCTGTCCTGACTAACCTCCCTAGGCCTCGCCTCCTCAGTCTTCCACCACACATCTCCCTGGATTCTCAGGCTGCCAAAACTGCCACTGAAAGAAGTCAGGAGAGCATGGTGATTGGCCCCTCTTCACTCTGATGCTCTCCAGCTTGCTTGTTTCATGAGGTGGTGGTAAGGGTTAATGTCTGTAAGTTGCTTAGCACATGGTGAGAGCTTATCATTAGCCTCCACATCAAAATGTCAGTGCTGCCTGGCTCATCTCCCCTCCATATTTATCCCACCCCGTGCATGCTACATTGAAATCCCAATGTTTTTTCTGTTTCTGTTCTTTTTTTTTTTTTTTCTTTTTTGAGATGGAGTCTCACTCTGCACTGGAGTGCAGTGGCACAATTTTGGCTCACTGCAAGCTCGGCCTGCCCCGGGCTTCACACCATTCTCCTGCCTCAGCCTCCCGAGTAGCTGGGACTACAGGTGCCTTCCACCACACCTGGCTAATTTTTGTATTTTTACTAGAGGTGGGGTTTCACCGTGTTAGCCGTGATGTCTGTTTCTTTTCTTACTCCTCCTGTACTTCCTGGCCTCTTGCTTGCCCACTTTCTGTCCGGAATGCTATAGTGCAGTGGTCTTCAGATGGAAATATGTGGAGGGGGTACACAGACACTTTCTGTAACATCTTTGGGCACATAGATTGTTGAATGGAAATCAACTTCTAGATCCTTGACTTTATTTTGTATCCTTGCCTATGAGTGATCTGCTTAAGAATGGGCCTGTGGCCTGTAGGTTTCTCTTCTCTCACATTTTTTCACAATTGTTCTTTTCTTCATTTTATTTTATTTTATTTTATTTTATTTTTTGAGACGGAGTCTCGCTCTATCACCCAGGCTGGAGTGCAGTGGTGCGATCTTGGCTCACTGCAAGCTCTGCCTCCCGGGTTCACGCCATTCTCCTGCCTCAGCCTCCCGAGTAGCTGGGACTACAGGTGCCTGCCACCACGCCCGGCTAATTTTTTGTGTTTTTAGTAGAGGCGGGGTTTCACCGTAATAGGCAGGATGGTCTCGATCTCCTGACCTCGTGATCCACCCGCCTCAGCCTCCCAAAGTGTTGGGATTACAGGCGTGAGCCACCACGCCTGGCCCTTTTCTTCTTTTATAAAAGAAAGACACCGGCCAGGCATGGTGGCTCACGCCTGTAATCCTAGCACTTTTGGAGGCCGAGGTGGGTGGATCATTTGAGGTCAGGAGTTTGAGACCAGCCTGGCCAACATGGTGAAACCCCGCCTCTACTAAAAATACAAAAAACAGGCTGGGCACGGTGCCTCACGCCTGTAATCCCAGCACTTTGGGAGGCCGAGGCGGGTGGATCATGAGGTCAGGAGATCGAGACCATCCTGGCTAACAGGGTGGAACCCTGTCTCTACTAAAAATATAAAAAATTAGCCGGGCCTGGTGGTGGGCGTGTGTAATCCCAGCTACTAGGGAGGCTGAGGCAGGAGAATCGCTTGAAACCAGGAGGCAGAGGTTGCAGTGAGCCAAGATCACGCCACTGCACTCCAGCCTGGGCGACAGAGTGAGACTCCGTCTCAAAAAAATAATAAGTAAAATAAAATAAATAAAGACACCACTCACGCATCTCCTTAAGGTTACCATGGTGCATCCCTCTGCAGTGGAAAATCCTCTAGCGTGCCATACAGAGACAATTTGTTGAAGAAGTGAGTTTTTTGGACGTTTTGTAATACAAGTCCCAATCTTTGCTCCCAACAAAATTTTACTTAATTTTTTGAGACAGGGTCTCTTATTCTGTCACCCAGGCTGGAGTGCAGTGGTGTGATCATAGCTCACTGCATCCTTCACCTGCCAGCCTCAGGTGATCCTCCCACCTCAGCTGCCCAGGTAGCTTGGGATTATAGGCATTCACCACCGTGGCTGGCTAATTTTTTTGTAATTTTTCTAGAGACAGGTTTCGCCCTGTTGGCCAGGCTGGTCTCAAACTCCTGGGCTTAAGTGATGTACCCACCTTAGCCTCTCAAAGTGCCGGGATTATAGGCGTGCCCAGTCCCAACAGAATTTTTAAAAGATGTAATCAGGTTGTCAGTCAGCTGCCAGATTATGCCGTAATGTTTTACTACAAATCACTGTGTGGCTTTTTGGCAGATAAGTTCAAAAAGTTGTGATATTGCTACAAGAGATTGCTGTAAATGCAGGTTGATGCAGTTTGGGCAAAATCAGGTCCAGTTACAGTAACTAGAGTCAGTTTGTTAAGCATAAGAGAAAGGTGGTTTTTAACTCAGAAGAGGTATGCAGTCAGTTGTATTATATCTGTCTGCTGTCAGGTTTAGGGGAGGGGAGGGGCAATCTAGATTGAGAAGAGGAAAAAAGTCAGAGCAGGAACTGGCAATGTACCCATAATTCTGCTGCTCGACACCTGTGTTGATCTGCCTGTAGGCCAGGTTTTGGGTAAAGATGGATACACCACATTAAGAGTAGGATAACTCCAGTCATTAAGACTTTGTAGGCCGGGCGCAGTGGCTCATGCTTGTAATCCCAGCACTTTGGGACGCCGAGGTGGATGGATCACCTGAGGTCAGGAGTTGGAGACCAGCCTAACCAACACGGAGAAACCCCATCTCTACTAAAAATACAAAATTAGCCAGGCACGGTGGTGCAAGCCTGTAATCCCAGCTACTTGGGAGGCTGAGGCAGGAGAATTGCTTGAACCCGGAAGGTGGAGCCAGGATTGCACCACTGCACTCCAGCTGGGGAACAAGAGTGAAACTCTATCTCAAAAAAAAAAAAAAAGACTTTGTAACAGTGGTTTTCAAACCTGGCTGGGCATCAGAATCACCTAGGGTACTTGTTTAAAATATAGATCTCTTGGTCCCACTAGAGATTCTGATTCTGAGAGATCTGAGATGGGACCTGGACATTAGTATTTTTAACAGATTTCTCAGTGGATTCTCACGCAGCTAGCCTAGTTCCAGGCCAGGAACCATTGTTTAAGAGACATTCATCTAACAAGATCTTCCTGCCATGATTTCAGGGCTCCTAAGCAATTTTCAGGGTTTTATGTGGCTTTCCATGCAGATTTTCTTTTCTTTTCTTTTCTTTTCTTTTCTTTTTTTTGAGATGGAGTCTGGCTCTGTCGCCCAGGCTGGAGTGCAATGGTGCGATCTCAGCTCACTGCAACCTCCACCTCCCAGGTTCAACTGATTCTCCTGCCTCAGCCTCCCGAGTAGCTGGGATTATAAGCACCCACCATCATGCCCAGCCAATTTTTGTATTTTTGTAGAGATGAGGTTTCACCATGTTGGCCAGGCTGGTCTTGAACTCCTGACCTCAGGTGATCTGCCTGCCTCGGCCTCCCAAAGTGCTGGGATTACAGGCATGAGCTACTGTGCCTGGCTCATGTAGATTTTCATCTAGGTAATATGGTCCTTTATAAATTTTATTTCTTGTTGTTAATTAATAGATATCTGGTTTATACATCAGTACGTTGTGAATGAGGCTTTTTTTTTTTTTTTTTTTTTTTTTTGAGACGGAGTCTCGCTCTGTCGCCCAGGCTGGAGTGCAGTGGCGGGATCTCGGCTCACTGCAAGCTCCGCCTCTCGGGTTCACGCCATTCTCCTGCCTCAGCCTCCCAAGTAGCTGGGACTACAGGCGCCCGCCACTACGCCCGGCTAATTTTTTGTATTTTTAGTAGAGACGGGGTTTCACCGTGTTAGCCAGGATGGTCTCGATCTCCTGACCTCGTGATCCGCCCGCCTCGGCCTCCCAAAGTGCTGGGATTACAGGCGTGAGCCACCGCGCCCGGCCTGAATGAGGCTTTTTGAGCTTGCTTTCCTTGGGTGCATTGAAAAGACAAATTTAGGTCTGCCAAGTTGAGGGTCCTATTCTGAGCTGTGGAAACCCAATAGAGGTCTGCCTGTCATGCCCAAACTGAGGACCAGTGGTCAACCTCTACTCTTCCAGTAGCACCTCCATCTTATCTCTCTTCAGAAACATTTAATTTCAGATTTAGGAAAGTGAGGAAGTGAGAAACGGAAAGATAGAAAATTGTATTTGGGAATTTGAATTTAGGCTATGAGAAGTGGTGTTTCCATATGAGTCTGAGGCCTAATATATGGCTGTGCCTCTGGAAGAATCAACCAAATGGAGATTGGCTTTGATTTGTATTTGAGAAGATACCCATAGAGCAGTATTTGACAAATGACATACTGTGTTGCTGGCAGAATGCAAAGTAAAAGAATGATCAGAGTGGGTAAGATTTAGTGGGGGAAGGCTTTCTGTGTTTTTTTTGAGATGGAATCTTACTCTGTTGCACAGGCTGGAGTGCAGTGGAGTGATCTTGGCTCACTACAACTTGTGCCTCCTGGGCTCAAGCGATTCTCCTGCCTCAGCCTCCCCAGTAACTGGGACTACAGGTGCACACCACCATGCCTGGCTAATTTTTTGTGTGTTTTTTTTAGTAGAGACAGGGTTTCACCATGTTGTCCAGGCTGGTCTCGAACTCCTGACCTCAGGTGGTTCTGCCTGCCTCAGCCTCTCAAAGTGCTGGGATTACAGGCATGAGCCACCGTGCCTGGCCAGGGGAGACTTTCTGAATTTGAGTTTTGTTTTTTTTTTTTGAGACGGAGCCTTGCTCTGTCGCCCAGGCTGGAGTGCAGTGGCGCAATCTTGGTTCACTGCAAGCCCCGCCTCCTGGGTTCACGCCACTCGCCTGCATCAGCCTCCTGAGTAGCTGGGACTACAAGCGCCCGCCACCACGCCCAGCTAATTTTTTGTATTTTTAGTAGAGATGGAGTTTCACTGTGTTAGCCAGGATGGTCTTGATCTCCTGACCTCGTGATCTGCCCACCTCGGCCTTCCAAAGTGCTGGGATTATAGGTGTGAGCCACCACACCCGGCCCTGAATTTGAGTTTTAAACTAGGTCCTGGTTACTTGACTGGGGATAAATACATACCTAACTTCTGTCGTATCTTGTTTTGCTAAGAAAAAGTGATTTTCCATTTATCGTGGTACACGTGTCAGCTCTACGAATGCTGATTTTGTAAAGAACTAGATGATGGAAAATAAGCAAGTATAGGAGGCATGAGGATGAAAAGGAAAGGCCAGAGAGGGGGTTGGAAGCAGATGGAGACTGAAATGGCAGCTTGTGGAACTTGCTCTTGGGTAGGGATGAGAGAGAAATGTATTTAAGACAGTACTTCCCAACTCAGATGGTACCATGGAGGAAGAAGATAGCTAAATTCTCGACAATGGATTCTTACAATTGTATAGATACACATTACCTATAATTTTCAAAGATTTCAACAAAAAGGAGAAGTACAGTTTTTAGGTGCCCTCTCTTACTTCATGGGAAAATGAGAGAAGATGCTGAGATGGGGAAGGTCAAAGAAAGTTCCACCTCATTTTCAGGTGTAGCACAAAGAGCTTCTAAGACTTCAGGATTCCAGTAGGAGATCAGGTTCCTTCCAGGTGTCTGGGGAGGGGGGCATTACCAGGCTGCCCTGATGAGTGACTAGAGGTGCCCGAGCCGGATGGTGTTAGTAACCAACATCCTGTGGATAACGGGAGGCTGGGCAGAGAGAAGGGGAGTCCAAAGTCGCCCCCAAATCTCCACCTTTCCCCTTCCCTTACCACATGACTCCAGCCTCCTCTGCTGCTCAGGGTCTTTGTTTCTTCAGTAATCTCATCCTTTCTTCACTCTTAACCCCTGTCTCTCTGCTGGACCTATTCCTTCTAATATAAACATGTTCATATCTCTTCCATCAGAGGAAAGCCTTGCTCTATAGCACTGTCCGTCTTGGTCTTCTCCTTTCATCCACTTTTTTTTTTTTTTTTAAAGAAGCAGCAAATTCATTATTCAGTCCACTACCAGCTGGCTTTTGCTACTGTCATTCCCCTGAATCTGTGCTCACAGTTCATATGTGACTATCTATTGTCTCAGTACACATTTTCTTTCTTTTTTTTTTTTTTTTTTTTTGAGACGGAGTCTCGCTCTGTCACCCAGGCTGGAGTGCAGAGGTGTGATCTTGGCTCACTGCAAGCTCCGCCTCCCGGGTTCAGGCCATTCTCCTGCCTCAGCTTCCCGAGTAGCTGGGACTACAGGCGCCCGCCACCACGCCTGGCTCCTTTTTTTGTACTTTTAGTAGAGACGGAGTTTCACCGTGTTAGCCAAGATGGTCTCGATCTCCTGACCTCATGATCTGCCTGCCTTGGCCTCCCAAAGTGCTGGGATAACAGGCGTGAGCCACTGTGCCCAGCCTCAGTAGACATTTTCTAATTCTTATCCTAGCGAATCTCAACTGCATTTGATTTTTTTTTTTTTTTTTTTTTGAGACAGAGTCTCACTCTGTTGCCCAGGCTGGAGTACAGTGGCTCAATCATAGGTTACCGCAGCCTCTACCTCACAGGCTCAAGTGATCCTCCCACCTCAGCTTCCCGAGTAGCTGGAACTACAGGCACATGCCACTATGCCTGGCTAAATTTTTAATTTGTAGAGATGGGGTCTTGCTATGTTTCCCAGGCTGGTCTCAAACTCCTGGGCTCAAGTGATCCTCCCACCTACTCCTCCCAAAGTGCTGGCATTAAAGGCGTGAGCCACCGTTCCTAGCCTTCACTCGATATTTTTAAATTCCCTCTGCCAATGCCTAAGTGACTTCTGTGACACATTATTCTGGTTTTTCAGTTTCCCTACCATTCTTTATCTTCTTGGCTCATTCTCTTCCTCTACTCACCCCTTTATGAACGGAGTCTGAACAGGAAACAGCTCACTCAAATTAGGATAATTTGAGGAGGGTTTATTTGCAGCGAGGTTAATTATAAATGATCTAGGTGTGGGCAGGTCATTGAAGAACCCAGGGCTGGCAATAATAGTCACTAGCCCTGGGCCTGAAGAGAGAGGAGGGAGTAGAGGTTACTGGAACCCAGACAGTGAGACTACTGAGTAGGATAGAGTTGAGAGGAGTAGGGACCTCAGTTGAGGGACAACACCAACCCAAGGCGACCTCACAGGAAGGAACCCTGACCCCTTTCTCCTGCCCTGCCCTTTCGTCCCTGCTTCCAGACCCCTGCTGGGGCTCCTCATTGGTGGACCACAGCTGGAAGCCAGAGGCTCTGTTGATGTGTTCCATACAGGTTAGGTTTCTGGGGCAAAGAGGGACAGGGAGAAAGGTGGAAAGAAGATCTAGAGGGAAAATGGAAGATAACTGGAGCACTCGTGACTGTTTCTTTGACTCCTAGGCTTCTGTTCGCAGCCTCTGATGGTTCTCATGCTACACTCAGGCTGAGTACTTTCAAGTCTGTATCTCTAGTCCTGACTACTTTGAGCTTTAGACCAATATATTTTGACTGATTCTTTGATACCTCTCTGTGGATACCTTGAAACTCATTTTGTCCAAAACAGAGCTCACTGATCATCTTTTATTGCTATATTAGCTCCTCTCCCAGTATTCAGAATATTGTGGCACCACCGTCCATCTAATTACCATCCCTCAAATTGAGTGAGATCTGGGCACCATCTTTGAGTCCTCCCTCCTTACACCTATCTCCAGTCACACACCAAGTCTTGCAGAATTTGACCTCTTCCGTATTTCCCCAGCCTGTCTCTTCCTCCCCACTGCTACTAGTGCTCTAGTGAGATCACATCACCTTTTGCCTTGATGACTGCAGCAGCCTCCCAGCTGATCTTCCTATGTGCAGGCCTACTGCTTTCTTTTTTTTTTTTTTTTTTTAGTAGAGATGGGGTTTCACCGTGTGAGCCAGGATGGTCTCAGTCTCCTGATCTCGTGATCCTCCCGCCTTGGCCTCCCAAAGTGCTGGGACTACAGGCGCCCGCCACCATGCCCGGCTAATTTTTTGTATTTTTAGTAGAGACGGGGTTTCACCGTGTTAGCCAAGATGGTCTCGATCTTCTGACCTCGTGATCCACCATCCTCGGCCTCCCAAAGTGCTGGAATTACAGGCGTGAGCCACCACGCCCGGCCAGGCCCACTGCTTTCTACTTCAGCCACTAAACGACCACGAGTGTGCATCTGCGTGGAATGCTAATCTGACTAGGGACCATGTCATTCCTTGGTTTAAAAAACCATCCCATAGTTCTGCAATGTCTAAAGGATGAAGTTCCATACATTCCCATGCCCCCTTGAGAATCACCTTCCACAGTGAACACTTTCACTGACGGGAGGATTGTATTCCTCAGATTTGCCGTAGTGCACAAATAGACTGCCCTAAGCAAAGGCCACTTTAATATTAGTTCCAGATTGCTTACCATCTGAACAAAGGTCAGGCTTATTCTCCTGGCATTTGGACCCCTTGTCTGTGGTGGGGACAGCCAAATCCCCAGGACAGTTTTATTAGGAATAGGTTTGGCCTCGTATAATAATAAAAAACCCCCAATATCTTAAGCAAGGCAAAAGCTTATTTCTCTCTTAGATAAATGAAGTCCAGAGGCTGGCATTCCAGGATTGGTATGGCAGTACCATGGAGTCATCAGGGTCCCAGGTTCCTTCCAGCTGTGATCCCCAGTCCTAGGCTATGCCAGTATACTCATGGTCCAGGATGGTGTCCAGCTATCACATCATGCTCTGGGAACAGCATGGAAGACAAGATGGAAGAAATGTATCTCCTCATCCTTTAGGAGATTTCCTAGTAGTCCCATGTGGTTTCATTTGCATCTCACTGTCTCATTGGCTAGAATATGATCATGTGGCCAATCCCAACTGCAAAAATTAAAAAGCTGGGGAATGTATTTTTTTAGCTAGGCTAATTGCCACACTATATAAATTTATTATTCTGTTATAAGGCAATGGGGAATAATATTGGGGTAGGCAACTAAACATTTTTGCCACAACTAAAAATCTTTGTAAAAGTTTTAAAAAGGTACTCTCCTCCCACCCACCCCTGCCCAAGAAACAAGGTGTCTTGCTCTATTACCCAGGCTGGAGTACAGTGGCACAATCACGGCTCATTGCAGCCTTGACCCCCTGGGCTCAAGTGACCCTCCTACCTCAGCCTCCCCAGTAGCTGAGACTACAGACACATGCCACTGCCCCTGGCCAATTTTTAAAAAATTTTAGTTGAGACAAGATCTCCCTATGTTACCTAGGCTGGTCTTGAACTCCTGAGCTCAAGCCATCTTCCCACCTCTGCCTCCCAAAGTACTGGAATTACAGGTGTGAGCCACCACACCCTGCCAAAAATGCACTCTTTAAGTAATCTATGAAGGTATTAAGAAAATACTATAAGAGAGCTGATTACAAAATTAATATGTAATGATCAACAGCATTGCTATATATATAAGTAATAGCCAGTTACAAAATGTAAGAAAATCTCACTAAATGAAAAGAGGTACAGAGACATGATGAACATAAAAACAACATCAGCATAAGTTTGGACTACAAATTTATACTAAAGTTTACTTGGGAAGATATGAGAATAGACAGGAAAGGTCTGAAAAAGAAAACTGAGATAACTTTCTCTAGCATATATTAAAAATGTTAATAAAGCTAACAGGTTGAACTGTTTGATATTAGAGAAGACAAGGATCAGTGGAACTGAATAGAATCCAGAAGTTGGCCCAAATATAGATGGATATTTAGACTATGGCATAGGTGGCATTTTAAATCAGTAGGGGAAAGAATTATTCAGTAAATGGTATTGACACAATTCAGTAGCCCTTTGGAGAAGTTTAAAGCCAGTGGCTCCAAATGTCAGGGAGCCAAAGGCGGTACTTCTGTGCTAGTTATAGCTAAGACACATTAATCTTTTGAAGAGGTAAGCCCTCTATGTCCCCTCTCCTGCTCTATAGAGCTGATGAGTACCAGAGAACAGGACTAAGAATAGTCCTCTTGTTACTCATTTTGCAGTTACTTCCCCTGTACACCCAAAAGTTATTTATATTAACTTGTCCTTTTTTTTTCTTTTTTGAGACAGGGTCTGACTCTGTCACCCAGCCTGGAGTGCAGTGGTGCAGTCTCCACTTATTGCAACCTCCGCCTCCCTGGTTCAAGCAATTGTCCTGCCTCAGCCCCCCAAGAAGCTGGGACTACAGGTGTACGCCACCATGCCCAGCTAGTTTTTGTATTTTTAGTAGACAGGGTTTCGCCATGTTGCCCAGGTTGGTCTTGAACTCCTGAGCTCAAATGATCCGCCCGCCTCGGCCTCCCAAAGTGCTGGGATTACAGATGTGAACCACCATGTCATTTCTGTCCCTTCTTTCAATATTTATCGTATACCTATCTATTAATATGGCCACCATTTTCCCTAGATGTTTTCTTTAATCACCTTCAGGTTCTAACCCAACTCACCGTTAATATTATGGATTTTTTTTTTATCAGCATCTCTTTACCATCCATTTCCTACTTCTCTCTTGAAATCTTTTCTCACTCCTGTCAGCATCCACTGTTTAGCATGTCCACCATAATCCTAAATCTGGATCTTCTCTTTGGCAGCATCTTGTCATTTCGCCAGATATCAAGACTGTTTCTGTTTTGTTTTTTTGTTTTGAGAGGGTCTCGCCCTGTCACCCAGGCTGAAGTGCAGTGGCGCATTTCAGCTCACTGCAGCCTTGACCTCCCCAGGCTCAAGCAATCCTCCTGCCTCAGCTGCCCTCCTCCCCTGACCAAGACTGTTTCTGAGTGCTATGAGAACTACATCAAAGCTCTGTTGTCCTCTAGTGTTAGCTTCATTTAAATATGATACGGTCCCTTCACATACTTACCTCTCTCATTTCAGATTGTGAGATGGGGACTGAGAACAAGGAGGTGATTCCCAAGGAAGAAATTTCTGAAGAATCTGAGCCACATGGGTCATTATTAGAAAAATTTCCAAAAGTGGTTTACCAAGGTCATGAGTTTGGAGCAGGATGTGAAGAAGACATGTTGGAGGGACATTCGAGAGAGTCCATGGAAGAGGTTATAGAGCAGATGTCTCCTCAGGAGAGAGACTTTCCATCAGGGTTGATGATCTTTAAGAAATCACCCTCAAGTGAGAAAGACCGGGAGAATAATGAGAGTGAGAGAGGCTGCAGTCCCAGCCCAAATCTGGTTACACATCAGGGAGATACAACAGAGGGAGTTAGTGCATTTGCTACCTCTGGCCAAAACTTCCTAGAGATTTTAGAATCTAACAAAACACAGAGAAGTTCTGTGGGAGAAAAGCCTCATACATGTAAAGAATGTGGGAAAGCCTTTAATCAGAACTCACATCTCATCCAGCATATGAGAGTTCATAGTGGAGAAAAACCCTTTGAATGTAAAGAATGTGGAAAGACATTTGGAACTAATTCAAGCCTTCGACGGCACCTGAGAATTCATGCTGGAGAAAAACCCTTTGCTTGTAATGAATGTGGAAAGGCCTTCATTCAGAGTTCACACCTTATTCACCATCATAGAATTCATACTGGAGAGAGACCCTATAAATGTGAAGAATGTGGTAAAGCCTTCAGTCAAAATTCAGCCCTTATTCTACACCAGAGAATCCATACTGGAGAGAAACCATATGAATGTAATGAATGTGGGAAGACCTTTAGGGTTAGTTCACAGCTTATTCAGCATCAGAGAATTCATACTGAAGAAAGATACCATGAATGCAATGAGTGTGGCAAAGCCTTCAAGCATAGCTCAGGCCTTATTAGACACCAGAAAATTCATACTGGAGAAAAACCATATCTGTGTAATGAATGTGGGAAGGGCTTCGGGCAGAGTTCTGAGCTTATCCGGCATCAGAGAATTCATACAGGGGACAAACCCTATGAATGTAATGAATGTGGGAAAACTTTTGGCCAGAACTCAGAGATTATTAGACATATTAGAATTCATACTGGTGAGAAGCCCTATGTATGTAAGGAATGTGGGAAGGCCTTCAGGGGGAACTCAGAACTTCTTAGACATGAGAGAATTCACACTGGAGAGAAACCCTATGAATGCTTTGAGTGTGGAAAGGCTTTCAGGCGGACCTCTCACCTTATTGTCCACCAGAGAATTCATACTGGAGAGAAACCCCATCAATGTAATGAGTGTGCAAGAACCTTTTGGGATAATTCTGAGCTGCTTCTCCACCAGAAAATTCATATTGGAGAGAAACCTTATGAATGTAGCGAGTGTGAGAAAACATTTAGCCAGCATTCCCAACTTATCATACATCAGAGAATTCACACTGGAGAGAAGCCTTATGAGTGCCAAGAATGTCAGAAGACTTTTAGTCGGAGCTCTCACCTCCTCCGACATCAAAGTGTTCACTGTATGGAGTAATCTGCAAAATAGGAAAGCTTTTAGTGGAAAAGCTAAAGTCCAACTTATTCATTTGTTCATAATATGCAAATATGCACCCCAAGTATTCAAATCCAATGAATGGACAGAACCTCCTCTGTCCTCCCACTGATTTTAAATAGTTGGTTGAAGAAGATGAGGCACTTTTTTTTTTTTTTTTTTAAGCATTGGGGTCTTGCTCTGTTGCCCAGGATGGGATGCAGTGGCACAGTCGTAACTCACTGCTTCCTTGAACTCCTGGGCTCAAACAGTCCTCCTGCCTCAGCCTTCCAAATAGCTAGGACTGCAGGCACTAATGAGGCACTTTTATGAATTATTCATTGAGAGGTTTCAGTGTGCTAAGTTAAATCATAAAAGCTCTTTCAGGCCTTAATTTCCCCTCTGTCCTTCCTTCCCCTTCTCCTCCCCCAGTGGATCACATAACAAACATTAAGGGTCTGTACCAGCCATCTTTCCTAAATTACTCTTCAGCAAAATTGTGGGAACAGGATTCCACCACCTCCTAAGAATGAGAGTTGACTCATTGACTGTTACCCCCTGAAATATTAGAAAGTCATAATTTAGAAGACACACCTCATTCTCCTGTCCACTGTTTAGCATTGGAATAATTTAGTAAGCTGTTATTAGCTTCAAAGTCGTCCAGCCCTGCTATGAAGTTACTTTAGAAGATGGCAGCATTAATGAAGAAGCAGGCTCATTTCACATCTGTCAGGCTTCCTTATTCATCTGAAGAGGCTGCCATGATGGAGGAACTGACAGGCAATTTACAACGGGATTATAAGTGAAGGCCTTAGAATCCAGAGGGGCCGATTAGGCAACACCAGGGGATAAACAATTGAGGTCACACTGCTCGGCATGGGCAGAAGCAGCTCTTCAGGAGCTGTCCACACTTCAGGGGTGCTCAGACTGACTGCTCCTAAGAATTCTGCTGCATATATTTTTAGCCCCATCTCCTGCCACTGCTGACAGATATTGTGACAGTAAGTAGCAGACAGGACTGTGGCTTCACCTCCTCCGGGCACCTGGCTACAGTGATGAGTCAGTTCACCTGATGACAAACCAGGGTCTGGCCTTGCCAAAGCACTTAAGTTCTCATGACCTGGACCGCACTGGAGGCCCTGGCTAAGTCAGGATGTCGTAGCCTCTTCTTGGTTTTGCCCCTTGGCCTTGAAATTCTTTTTTCTTGAATAACTTTAAAAAAATAGAGATAAAGTCTTGCTATGTTGCCCAGGCTGGTCTTGAATGCCTGGGCTCCAGCAATCTTTTTGCCTCAACTTCCCAAAGTATTGAGATTACAGGTGTGAGCTACCATGCCCGGCCTTGAAATTCTTTCTTCGCTATGTCTGCATGTTTTTTGTGTTCTGTATTTATTTCTTCTCCAAGGAAACAGCCTACATTTTCCATGTGTCCATGTTTCTGAGGCCGTGGGTGACAGTGGGAATTGCACTAATGGGGGCCCAACAGGCCTGGGGGCTGGTCTTAGCGCTAGACCTTGAACAAGGCACTTCACCTGCTGGTCTCCAATTTTCTCCTCTGTAAAATGAAAGAGTTGAACTAAGTGATCTCAAAAGTTTCAACCAGCCCGATAATTCCTTAATTCTTTAAAAATTTAACTTTATATATCTTTATTATTCTTTAACCTCATCTTTGTTACACTAATATTAGTCACTAATATTTATTGAGTGTTTACTACCTGACAGGCAGAGTGCCAGTTTACATTTTAATTTTCACATCATTTCTATGATGTGGGTACTCATTTTTTTAAAGCTTTATGAAGGTATAATTTACGTACTATAAAATTCACCTGTTTTAAGTGTTCAGTTGAATGATTTTTAATTTACATAGTGGTGCAACCATCAATGATGTGGGTATTCTTACCCCAATTTAAAAGATAAGAAGGGGCAGTGTTAAGTAATTGACCCATGATTCCACAGCTAGTAAGAGCGACAGCCAAGACTCCAAACCTGGTTGATGCTCTTAACCACTGTGCTATGCCGCAGGTAGGCAGATTCATTACTGCCTTATCTGAAACCCTTTGCACAGTTTCTATTACTGATTTCTATGTAGATTTGAATATAACAAATTTAAATCATGTCCTTGGTAACAGAACTGATCACAGCCAAAAAAAATTCACCAAATGGGTTTATTCTGTACTCCAATATAGGTGTCTTCCCAGGTTTATATCCTTGGCTTGAGAAAAGGGTTGTACAAATAGATGATTGCAGAGTTTCCACATCCTTCCAGATACCTCTGCCTCTAGCAGTCACACTCTTAGTAAGGGAAGTTGTTTGATTTACTTCTTCCCTTAGGTTGATTACAAGTGAAGTGCGCCGTCTTATTCCTTTTTCATTGCTGGAGCACAAATTGAATTGTGCCCAGACCGTATCTTTCTCACATGAAACCTGGATCTCACCTATCCCTTCCATGCCTGATTCCCGTGTTTGCATATTTTATTTCCACATTTACCTCTTGTCAGCCCTGACAGAGAATTTGGCACCCCTTCAAGCTTCTCCTAAACAATCTATGCACACAAACACCCCTGAGCAATATGGACTTCACTGAAGATAGTGTGTAAGCAAAGGAGAAGAGTTCACATTGTGCATCCTATTAGACATTTTGTTCTCAGAAGTACCTTACTGGCCAAACCAATGAAGGTTTTCCTCTTGTCCTCCCCTCTCAAGGCTCAGTCACCTCAACTTCTTTTTGCCTACTAGATATCCAATCCATCACCTCGCCTCCCCTGGCCCTAGCTCAATTACCCTCTTAAACCCATTCCTGCTCAGCAAAACTTCCTCTAGTTCACCATTCATTCATTTGAACATTAGGAGGCAATTTAGTGACCTGTTGTACCTGACCATGTTCTTAAGGGGGAGGTCTCACGTCTCATTCCCAGAAAAGTCTACCATATATAGATACATATTCCCCGCCCCGCCCCAGATTTCTGGTGAATGAAATCACTTGTATCTTATTAGGTACATATACGCAAATCCTTAACCTCAATTCTCTGTCCTCTTCATGTCTTACCCAGATATCTCAGGAAGATTTCTCTTTTCCTTCTGTTTGCCTCCCTCTTCGACTTACTTGGGAGTCAGCATCTGACCACAGTCGTGACTGGTAATGATGATTTGTGCAAATACTATCAAGGAAAGGACATGAATTGTCTTAATTTTAGACCCATTAAAAAACCGCACAGGCCTCAATCTTAAAAGTCCTATCTAAATACCCAGAAATACCCTTCAGAATTTTTGAAGCTATGCCCATGTACAAAATTTTCTTCCTTCCCTAATTTTAATGGTATACTAACACCTTAGGTAAATAAAATATTTCTTTACTATTTTATTGATACAATGCCTTTGTCATGTTTATTCCAAATTGCATTATGTTTCACTATGGATTTAATAAGGACTTTGTTTACCAGTTTCATCCCCACCTTGTAAGTTTCACCTTACCTAAATACCCCCACATGCTTGTTAGCTTCTGGTTTTGCATACAGTGTACATTCTGTGTCCTTGATCTGCTTTGCTTGGTGAGATCCTTCATCTTAAATAACAGGACAAGTGTTATCTATTGTGCGTGTGTTGGTATACACGTTTTTCTTCATGATTAGCAACTTAAAATATTCCGGACCATTTGTATGGCCTTTAACAAAAAATCACCTTATTACTGAAATTTCAGGGTGGCGGCGGGTGCTGCTGATTGTTTACCATTAAATTTTTACAAGTGTTCTGACTCCTGGCGGATGCCAGGTTCTTAATGCTGTTAAGTCATGAATCTTCTTTGAGAACCAGGAAAGCTCTGCCCGGAAAAATGTACATGCAGTTTCAGATAATTTATGGACTTCCTGAAACTCATCCTCTGAACCCTGTTCCCCAAATCAAACATTTAACTTAAAAAAAAAAAAAAGACCGAGTCACTTCCCCAATAATTTCCTCTTCACCGCACCCCTCAGCTTTTGGAATGAAGCTATGTCAAAAAGACCTGCCTGGGTGAACCCCTGCAAATGGAGGTCAGCTGGACCTCAGTAAAAGCCCAGTGGGAAGGAGCGGGGACGATTCTGGCGATCACATGAGGAAGGGAGCAGCCTCAGCAGCGCAGGTGGACACAGTCGTCAACCACTCGCTGGCCGCCTGCGACGTGAAGCACCTGCGCTGGGCGCGGCGGGTAAGCGCCGACACTAGCGGGCGCCTGAACAGTCCAGCGGCGTCAGCGCTGCGGAGCAGGAAAGGGTCCCAAACGCAGGGCGGCCATGCAGCGTGGCGCCCACCTGTCCCTCTCCTCGAAGCGCTGAGCCAGCACGATGCACATAAGGGAAGGAGGAAGGTGGCTTGAGGGCAGTGACCGAGCGGACAGCGGAAGCCCATTTCAGGAGCCCCGGTACCCGAGCTCGGGCCCCTTTCCAATCCCCCAGGCGTCCTTCCCATGTCCTTGTCTCCTAGTCCTGGGAATCCACGGCCACTCCACTCTCCTGCAGTACCGCGGACAAGAACACCATGTACTCTTCACAGGCAGGTGTCTTCTGGTGGACCCAACTCTGTTGGTACTTGTCGTCTCCAAAAAGTCCCCAAATGCGCTAGAGGCCAGCCAGCCCGGTATCCGAGAGGTAAGAGCCCCGGCGGCGCAGGCGGAAGCGTGTCTGTCGCGAGGCCTCTCTAGGACTCCGGGAGGACCCCTCGTTAGCGCAGGACCTCGGCAGCCGGGGGTTGGGCTCGAGGGCTGAGGGCGGCGCGCCATGCGCGGATTAGCTGCCATCCGGCGGGTCTTTCTGCCGGGGACCAGTGGGGTCGGACGCTGAGGGCCGAGGAACCCCGCCCCCCCACCGCACCGGGCGGGCTCTGGGGCGTCCGCGGAGGCTCCCGCGTGCGTGTGCGGGGTGGGGTCGGGGTGGCAGTTGGGGGCAAATCAATGGGCCTGTACTTTTGTCTCTCCGCCTGCTGGGATTTGCAGTTTGTGAGGACGTTTCACATCTCACGGATATTTACGGAGTCCCTTCCACGGCCCAGGCTCTTCTGGACACCAAACCAGGCCTAATATAACTATTTAATATCTAATTATTACAATTAAACTTATTTGCAGTCGGGAAGCATAGACTCAAAACACGAAAGGCAGGGTTGGCTTTAGAAAGAAGTCACTGTCGTCTAAGACTGTCAGAGGGGCTAAGAAGATAGGTATGGAGGGCCGGGCGCCGTGGCTCACGCCTGTAATCCCAGCACTTTGGGAGGCCTAGGCGGGTGGATCACTTGAGGTCAGGAGTTCGAGACCAGCCTGGCCAACATGGTGAAACCCCGTCTCTACTAAAAATACAAAAATTAGCTGGGCGTGGTGGCGTATACCTGTAATCCCAGCTACTCGGGAGGCTGAGGCAAGAGAATCACTTGAACCCGGGAGGCAGATGTTGCAGTGAGCCGAGATCGCGCCATTGCACTCCAGCCTGGGCGACAGAGCCAGACTCCGTCTCAAAAAAAAAAAAAAAAAAAAAAAAAAAAAAACCAAGGGCTGGGCGCGGTGGCTCACGCCTGTAATCCCAGGACTTTGGGAGGCTGAGGCGGGTGGATCACGAGGTCAGGAGTTTGAGACCAGCCTGGCCAACCTGGTGAAACCCTGTGTGTACTAAAAATACAAAAAAATTAGCCCGGCGTGGTGCCAGGCGCCTGTAGTCCCAGCTACTCGGGAGGCCAAGGCAGAAGAATCGCTTGAACCTGGGAGGCAGAGGTTGCAGTGAGCTGAGAATGCCCCACTGCACTCCAGCCTGGGTGACAGAGTGAGACTCCGTCTCAAAAAAAAAAAAAAAAAAAAATTAAGAAAAAGAGAAGTATGGAAGTTATGAGTGTCAGAGACAGTGGAGTTGATCATTTGAGGCCTTTGGCTAAGAGGGACGGTGGTTATGTGCTGGGAGTGGGCAGAGGTCTGGGAGGCTTTCTGGCAGATTATCCAGAGAATCATCAAGAAAGGAGCAAATGCGGTCCAGGCGAGATGGCTCACGCCTGTAATCCCAGCACTTTCGGAGGCTGAGGCGGGTGGATTGCCTGAGGTCAGGAGTTTGAGACCAGCCTGGTCAACATGGTAAAACCCTGTCTCTACTAAAAGAACAAAAATTGGCCGGGCATGGTGGCACGCGCCTGTAATCCCAGCTACTCGGGAGGCTGAGGCAGGAGAATTGCTTGAACCTGGGAGGTGGAGGTTGCAGTGAGCCGAGATTGCGCCACTGCACTCCAGCCTGGGTGACACAGCGAGACTCTGTCTCAGGAAAAAAAAAAAAAAAATAGAAAAAGTAGAAAGAAAAGAGCAAATGCTTCTATGCCCTTTGTCAGCTGGGTATGTCGCGCATTCTCCAAGCTGGAATGTGGATGGGGGTGCGGAGGGATTTAGTTAGAGTAGGCACTATAAATCTAGGTTCCATTCCACTGACTCTGAAGGCAGGGGAATCCCAGGAGTGCCCTGAATGTGGGAAGGACCTGGGAGAGCTTCATGCCTTCAGGTGGAGGTGGGAGATTCCTCTGCATTCATGTTCACGCTGGTGAGAAACACTAGTATGTAGAGTGTGGGAAAGCCTTGAGATGGAATTCTCACCTTCGAGTTCATCAGGAAATTCACACTGGAGAGGACCTTTGAATGCCAGTGTGGGAAAGACCAGCCCAGTTCTCATCAACTTCAGCATCCGAGCATGCACAGTGCCCAGGGATATGGGGACTTACTCACTGTAGGACACTTTCATTGTGACATGAAACTTTGATCTTTCCTCTTCTTCACTGGGGGCAGTAATTTTGCTTTGCTCCTTGAGGACAGGGCTAACTTGTAGAATAGTGTTCACCCCAGGGTTGCCACTCAAAAATCAATAAATGAATGAATGAATAAGAGGCAACAAATGATGATCTGATTTTTCTGTGATGTGGGCAAGTACAGTGTTGAACAGGTGAACCAAAACCTTTCTTTAGTTGAGGGAATTTATCATACCATTTACTCAAAAACAAGATAGCCACAGGTTGCTTTAAACACATCCACGCCGGGCGCTGTGGCTCATGCCACTTTGGGAAGCTGAGGTGGGCAGATCACCTGAGGTCGGGAGTTCGAGACCAGCCTGACCAACATGGAGAAACCCCCGTCTCTACTAAAAATACAAAATTAGCCGGGCGAGGTGGCACATGCCTGTAATCTCAGCTACGCAGGAGGCTGAGGCAGAAGAATCGCTTGAACCCAGGAGGTGGAGGTTGCGGTGAGCCGACATTGTGCCATTGCACTCCAGCCTCAGCAACAAGGGCGAAACTCCATCTCAAAAAACAAACAAAAAAACACATCCCTATCAGCCGTGAAAAGCAAAGGAAGAAGAAATCAGATCTTTTGCCTGTATCCTCCTCAAAAATCTTTCTTTCATACTCCTCACCAGCCTCCTGTCCATCCTCCCCACGCTTTGGAAATTACAGCTCTCATCATACCCCTTACTTCTCAGGACGCTTTTCCCCACTCTCACCCTGCCCCTGGAGCCCATGGCATCCTGGGGGAAAAATCCTTTCTGTGGCATTCAAGACCCTTGACAACTGGTCCCAGAACCTCCCATCCCAGCACCGGCACCAGCACCATGCACGAGCCACCCTGATCTGCTTATACTCACATACACCCAGCACTTTGATGCCTCCTTGCCTTTACAGACTCCATCCCTCCTCCCAGGGCACCGCTGTCCATTTAACACCCACCCCCACCCTTCTTTACTTCTAGCTTCAAGGACCATTGCAAAGGGCTTGTCCTCTGAGGCCTTCCCTGACACTCCTCCAATCCCCTGGCAGTAGCAGTTTCCTCCCAAGGGCTCCTAAGGCCAAGGATTGATTCACAGTTGTTGACTTAGTCCATCTTCCCCACTAGACCGGGACCTCCCCAAGGGCAGACACTAGGTTTGAATCACCTTCGAGTCCCAGGCATTGTCCAGTCCAGGGCTGGGTCCAGAGGGAGACATTCTGTGAACACTTGTGCTGATCAGTCCTCAGTTGAACTGAGGGAACTACCTGCAGATCTCTGGAGCCCTGTGCGACTCTCTCCTCTCTGGTGCTCTTCTACCACATCCTCTCTGAATTCTCAAGTCTGTCTCCTCAACTCAGGGAGTCTGCTGGCTGTTTGGGTTCCTCCTTCTGGCACTGCAGCCTAGAAACTCACCCTATAGAAAGCTGGGCTGGGCCAGGCCAGGCGCGGTGCCTCACGCCTGTAATCCCAGCACTTTAAGAGGCCCAGGCAGGAGGATCACTTGAGCCCAGGAGTTCCAGACCAGCCTGGGCAACATGGCAAAACCCTGTCCCTACAAAAAATACAAATATCAGCCAGGTGTGGTGCTGTGCACCTGTAGTCCCAGCTACTTGGAAGTCTAGGAGGTCGAGGCCGCAGTGAACTATCAGCATGAGACCCTGTCTCAAAAAAAAAAAAAAAAAAGAAAAGAAAACTGGGCCAGTGCGAGGACTCCTCTCATTTGTTTCCCTTCCCTCAGGGCTCTTTCACATTGCCTGTTGCCCAGTTCTGAAAATTATTGTTTCATATATTTTATCTGGCTTTTTAATGTGGGATGGTAAATTCAGTCCCTGTTACTCCATCATGGTTTCATGGTTGGAAGCAGAAAAAAGAAATTTGTTTCTATTTTTTTTTTAACAGGGTCTCACTTTGTCACCCAGGCTAGAGTGCACTGGCGCAATCTCGGCTCACTGTAGCCTCCACCTCCCAGGTTCAACCAATCCTTTTCTGTCAGCCCCTCAAGTAGCTGGGATTACTGGTGTGTGCCACCATGCCTGGCGAATTTTTGTATTTTTTGTAGAGATGAGGTTTTGCCATGTTTCCCAGGCTGGTCTGGAACTTCTGAGCTCAAGTGATCCGCCTACCTCAGCCCCCCAAAATGCTAGGATTACAGGCGTGAGCAACTGCGCCCAGCCAGATTTGCTCATTTGATGTAAGGTTTATGTGTATGCCAATTCTGTGGCTGATGGAACTCTTTCAAGGCTTTCATTTTTTAAATAAAGACCTTCATTTCTCATTGTTCCATTAAGCAATTAAGGTGACAGCATTAATTTGAAGAATTAACAAGAATTAATTACATTTAATCTTTTTTTTTTTTTTTTTTTTTTTTTTTTGAGATGGAGTTTCGCTCTTGTTGTCCAGGCTGGAGAGCAGTGGCGTGATCTCGGCTCACTGCAACCTCCGCTTCCTGGGTTCAAGCGATTCTCCTGCCTCAGCCTCCTGAGTAGCTGGGATTACAGGCACCCGCCACCATACCCAGCTAATTTTTTGTAATTTTAGTAGAGACAGGGTTTCACCATGTTGGCCAGGCTGGTGTCAAACTCCTGAGCTCAGGTGATCCACCCACCTTGGCTTCCCAAAGTGCTGGGATTACAGGCATGAGCCACCATGCCCATTCAATTACATTTAATTTTAAATTTAATTAAATTTTGCATTGGTTCCTGGGCAGTAGAGACAGTCTCATCAGTGGGACCAAGCACTCATGTGTCTGGGAAGCAGTGGTGATTGGGACAGTGAGTTTGGCTTTCTCTGCTCCACAATTCAAGTTAGAAATGCAAAAGCCCCACTTTTCTTCCTTGCAGCTCTGAGTAAAGAGTACCGTGTGCACGGGCTTTGAAATCATATTTAGGTTCAGATCTTGGCTCTGGCACTTATCAATTATGTGGCCTTGGACAAACTATTTCATCTATTTTAGTCTTTTTCTTCATCCGTAACATTGCAACATAAAGCCTCCTTCTGAAGGTTAGTAGTACAGTTCAAACACCGCTTCAGTAATTTTCGGGTGCCTGGAAGAGGAAAGTGACTCCCTTAACCCTAAGCCCAAAGCTTCCCCATTTCCTTGTGCTCCCTGGTTTGCAGCTCTCCTCCCTCGCCCCCAGGGCTTACGGCCACACTGTCTGTAGGGCAGCTACTCTGCCACCTCTGGCCTCAGGGTCCTCTTGGGTGTGTACAGAGGCAGGTGCCTGAGAAAGGCCTGTAGAATGGGGCTCCTGGACAGAGCCTAAGGCTCTTGGTAGGAAAACTTAGAGCCATTTGCACTGTTTGGCTTGAAGCATAAACTGAGCTGGAGTCTAGAGGGAGGGTGGGCTGGTTTCTGCCTGGCAGTCAGATCTACCCCCAAAAGTCCTACTGATCTTGCCCCTTTCATACTTTCCAAATCTGTCTCCTCTTCTACATCCCCAAGGCCACTCCCTCAGTTTAGGTAGCCATATTACTTGGAGGTTACAAGTCTCCTAATAAGAGTCCGTTTTCAGTTTTCCACACTGCAGATGACGTGATCTTTCTGAAGTACACAACTGAGTAACTGACGGTGTCACTCCCTAGTAATGGCTCCCTACTGCTCTTAAATCCAAATCCCTTAGGTGGCTTAAAAGGCCTTGATATCTGCTACACTTCATCTCTCCAACCTCATCAAATGCATTTGTCCCTTGCACTCTATACAACAGGTACACTTAAAAAAAAATTTTTTTTTTTTTAATTTTTAGATAGGATTTTGCTATGTTGCCCAGGCTGGACGACCTTGGCCTCCAAGTAGCTGGGACTATACGTACCTGCTACTGTGCCTGGCTTGTGTTGGTAGATATTTATCAACTAGCTAATAGCTAGTTCAAAACCAAAAAGTCTCCCATTTGCTGCATATGCTGATTTCCATGGCGTGAATACTCCCACCATGGCTAACTTCAGTGCAGACTTGGGAAGGGATGCACAAAACTGGCTCTTGCCAGCCTGTACCGACCGGCTCTAGCACAACACTGGACTAGCCACACCCTATACAATAAGGTCTCAATTTCAATCTTGGTCAGGGGGGTGTGGACTCTTAGAAGTTTGCTTCTTGAGAATTCTCCCTCAGCCCTAGAGGTAGTAGTTGTTCCCTTTTCTGCTATTCCTGTATTTTTTGACGCAGAGTCTCACTCCATCACCCAGACTGGGGTGCAGTGGTGTGATCATGACTTACTGTAGCCTCAACCTCCCAGGCTCAGGTGATTCTCCCATCTCAGCCTCTCAAGTAGCTGGGACTATAGGCACGCACCACCATACCTGGCTAATTTTTTGTATCTTTTTGTAGACATGGGGTTTCACCATGTTGCTCAGGCTGGTCTTGAACTCCTGGGTTCAAGCCATTTACCCACCTTGGCCTCCCAAAGTGCTGGGATTACAGGAGTGAGCCATCATGCCTGGCCTATTCCTATATTCTTGTTTGAGAGGGAGTCTCACTCTGTCTCCCAGGCTGAAGTGCAGCAGCACGATCTTGGCTCACTGCTACCTCCACCTCCTTGGTTCAGGCAATTCTCCTACCTCAGCCACCCGAATAGCTGGGATTATAGGCGCGCACCACCATGCCCGGATAATTTTTTTTTTTTTTTGTATTTTTAGTAGAGACGGGGTTTCACCATGTTGGCCAGGCTGGTCTCAAACTCCTGACCTCAAGTGGTTCACCTGCCTCGGCCTCTCAACGTGTTCGGATTACAGGCGTGAGCCACCGTGCCCAGCCCCTATATTCTTTAGAGATCTCTTTACTCCCTTTAGCAGATAATCCCTTTTTACTAGTTAATACTTCTTTAAATTTTCTTCAAATTACTAGTGTGGTTTTTGTCCCCTGCCTGGACACTGGCAGATGTGACCCTGTCTGAGCCAGCAGACCCAAACTAGTGTTTGGGTCTGAGAAACGGCCGGAACTGGTCAGGCACTGCAGCTCATGCCTGTAATCCCTATACTTTGGAAGGCCAAGGCGGCAGGACTGCTTGAGGCCAGGAGTTTGGCACCAGCCTGGGCAACATAGTGAGACTCCATCTCTACCAAAAAAAAAAAAAAAAAAAAAAGGGAGCCAGACGAAAGACCCATTCACAATAAATACAAATATAACTAACACTTCCCGAGCAGCTGCTCAGTGCCAGGTGAAAAATTCTAACGAAGGCTGGGCGCGGTGGCTCACGTCTGTAATGCCAGCACTTTGGGAGGCCGAGGTGGGCGGATCATGAGGTCAGGTCAAGACCATCCTGGCTAACACGGTGAAACCCGTCTCTACCAAAAATACAAAAAAATTAGCCACGCGTGGTGGCACGCGCCTGTAGTCCCAGCTACTTGGGAGGCTGAGGCAGGAGAATGGCGTAAACCCGGGAGGCGGAGCTTGCAGTGAGCCGAGATCACGCCACTGTACTCCAGCCTGGGCTACAGAGCGAGACTCCATCTCCAAAAAAAAAAAAAAAAAATTCTAATGAAGTAGCCAGGCATGGTGGCTCAGGCCTGTAATCCCAGCACTTTGGGAGGCAGAGGTGGGCAGATCACGAGGTCAAGAGATCGAGAACAGCCTGACCAACATGGTGAAACCCCGTCTCTACTAAAAATATAAAAAATCAGCTGGGCATGGTGGCACATGCCCGTAGTCCCAGCTACTTGGGAGGCTGAGGCAGGAGGACTGCTTGAACCCGGGAGGTGGAGGTTGCAGTGAACTGAGATCGTGCCACTGCACTCTAGCCTGGCGACAGAGCAAGACTCCGTCTCAAACAACAACAACAACAAAATTCTAATGAGGTAGACATTATTGGTGGGCAAACTAGGCAGATCATGCTGGAAAGAAGCAAAACAACTTGGCTACTACTTGCATCCAAAGCATCCTAATTAATATCAGTATCTTCATCAGAGGACATGAAGGGATGATCTACAGGCAGAACTAAGTAAACAGTTTTTCCAAAATCAAGAAAGACACAGGAAAAATCTTAAGGAACTTATAACTTTTATGGGATCCAGTCCTAAAGTAGATTAGACCGATGTAGAATTCTGTCTGGAGACGTTCTCCCCTTCAATTCAATGGGAAGGCTCTTTTCTGGCATGAACTCTCCGATGTCTAATGAGCTCTGAGCACCATCCATAAGCTTTCCCACATTCTTTACATATAAAAGGTTTCTCTCCACTGTGAATTCTCCGATGCTGACTTAGATATGAGCTTTGACTAAAGGCCTTCCCACACTCATTACACTCATAGGGCTTCTCTCCTGAGTGAATCCTCTGATGCTGAACAAGATGAGCACCCCATCTGAAGGCCTTCCCACATTCATTACATTCGAAGGGTTTCTCTCCTGTATGAATTCTCTGATGCTGACCGAGGTTTGAGCTCTGTTTGAAAGTTTTCCCACAGTCACTACACTTATAGGGTTTCTCTCCAGAATGAACTCTCTGGTGGACAACAAGATGTGAGTTATAAATGAAGGTTTTACCACATTCACTACATTCATGGTCTTTCTTCCCTGTGGGAATTTCCTTATGGATGACAACCATCTGCCTGAAACTTTCCTCCTGGGCAGGGGACCACCTCAGTCTCTCCGCTTTGGGATTTCTCTGCTGCAGTTCTAAGGTACCCTCAGAGGTAGCTTCAAATGTAGAGGTGTCAGTAGCAAGTTTTTCTGAGAACACCTGTGATTCCACTTCAGTAATGGGTGGTTGTGGCAATGATCCTTTGTCCTTGGGCTCTGGGCCATCTTCTGTAACAACTGACAGAAAATGTAAATATACCTGTTCTGGATGTATGAAGAAATGACACTTAGATTAAAATGTATATTTCTGGAATGAAAACAAATGCTTAAAAACAACTATATATATGACAAACATTCGAAGAATATTTACTGGATATTGCCAACAGTTATCTCTTGGTGATGGGACTATACAGAGGAGAGGGTTTCTTCTTTTTAATTTCTCCCATTTATCTGCTTTTTTTCCCCTAATTTCTCCATAATGAAACACTAAAGAAGTTTTATTGAAAAAATGAAAGCAATTACAATGCATGGTCTTTTTAGGATTTTTCATATTTTCAAGGAATCAGGGAATGATGTTGTGAAGAAAGGGAAAAACATGAAAGAATCATTAGGGTTAAGGAAAAGGGAGGTTTCTAAAGGCAAAAAAAACTGTGCCCTTCCTGGCTCTGCAACCTTCACCTCTTCCCATCCGTTTCCCAGCTGCATCAATCTATAGCCTCTTTAGAGGACTCTCAACTAACTGCCTCCTTTATCAAAGGGAGGACTTCCAGCTCCCTGCCTCCTATCTGCTTGGTGCTCTCTGCCTTTCTCTTCCTTAAAAAGGGAAAAAGAGTGTGTTGCCGGGCGTGGTGGCTCACACCTGTAACCCCAGCACTTTGGGAGGCCAGGGCGGGTGGATCACGAGGTCAGGAGATCGAGACCATCCTGGCCAACACGGTGAAACCCCGTCTCTACTAAAAATACAGAAAATTAGCCGAGCATGATGGCGGGCGCCTGTAGTCCCAGCTACTCAGGAGGCTGAGGCAGGAGAATGGCGTGAACCCGGGAAGTGGAGCTTGCAGTGAGCCGAGATCACGCCACTGCACTCCAGCCTGGGCGACAGAGCGAGACTCCATCTCAAAAAGGAAAAAAAAAAAAAAAAAAAAAAAAAGAGTGTGTTGCCTTTTTGTTTTTAAATGTCCATAGCACATTTTATGTTTTATCTGTTGTAATGCTCCCTATAGCCTAAGGAGAACAGAAACCAATTGCTTTAAGATAACTCAAGGTCATTTGACTTTTTTTTTTTTTTTGACAGAGTCTTGCTCTGTTGCCCAGGCTGGAGTGTAGTGGCATGATCTTGGCTCACTGCAACCTCTGCTTCCCTGGTTCAAGTGATTCTCGTGCCTCAGCCTCCCCAGTAGCTGGGATTACAGGCGCGTATCACACCTGGCTAATTTTTGAATTTTTAGTAGAGACAGGGTTTCACCATGTTGGCCAGGCTGGTCTTGAACTCCTGACCCAAGTGATCCACCTGCCTTAGCCTCCCAAAGTGCTGGGATTATAGGCGTGAGCCACCGTGCCCAGCCAAGATCATTTGATTTTTTAAAAATTCATTTTTTCAGGTTAAATGCTGTGGTTAAAAAAATCTGAAATATGCTTGCTATATATAAAAAAAAAATCACACAATAGCTAGCTTCTTTTTGAGAGTAAAGTAATAAAATTGATAAATGAATAGAGGCTTACTAAACAGAAGTAAAGGAGACAAGAAAAAGTCTGGAAAAAAGTCAAGGAAGAAAGAAGAGCTAAGAAGTAGAAACATACTTTTGGGACAGAGTCTAATTAATCTCCATTTCTATTTTTTCCCATTTTGTAACTAAGAAGAATTTGATTTTTCAAATGCCTTGGTTTGGTGATAGTGATGGGGGGGCAGTTATGGTGTAAAAGCAAATATCAAGTAGACTCTTCTTGGTTAGCCGCATATTCACAATACGGTCACAAGGCTACAGAGGTCAACAAGGAGAGTTCACGCCCCTGAGGCTCTAAGTCTAGTGTTCGCCGCTGGGAGAGAGGAGAGGTTGTTTGCAGGTATGTATGCAGGCCAAGAAGGAAGTTTCTGTAGTGAATCTGAAGGGTAGAAGGTGAGGGCACACATAAGAGAGTTTCAGATAGGGCTGTTTACATGAGGAAGAGGTGGTAAAGGTGATGACAGGCTGTATCTCACATAGGAGTGCTTTATGGCTTAAAAAGTGTTTTGCGAGGCCTCAGCGAGTTTAAAAAAAAAAAAAGGATCTCAAGGCTGGCCTCTAGCTCAGGGCAGAGTTATTATAGACTAGGAGTTAAGTGCAGTGGAGATGATAAGGCATAAATGAATGAGCTATTTCCTGGTCCTGATTTAGGGCTCTCTAAAGTTAAGAGATGCTGGCCAGGCTTTATATCCAGATAAGACCCAAGTTGAGCTTAATCCTCAGAGCTATCTTATGAGGTAGTTTATTCTTACTCCTAATTTTATGAGTGATGAAACAGGCAAAGTCTCTCACCTAAGAGATAAGAATAGTAAGGCTGTGATGATACCAAACATTTAAGCACCTACTACTATTTACCCTTTACAGGTACTAGGTACTGTGCCCTTTATAGTCCCTCTTTCTCCTCTCCCTCCCCACAGAATCCTGCTCCTCACCACTCTTTGGGAAAGGCTGGGTCTCCTTAGGCTGGAGCTGGATGCTCAGTGCTTCCTGGGCTGCTCCCAGAGATTCCTTCTTCTCCCATGGCTCTTCCTGTGCAGGTCCATGTGCAGGGCCTGGGACCTGGAGGTGATCAGGCACCACTCAGTTTAAATTTTCTTCAAATTACTAGTGTGGTTTCTGTCCCCTGCCTGGACACTTGCAGATGTGACCCTCCTTGGACCAAAGCTTCCAAGGAGACTTTAGAGAGCCTCCTCAGAGTCAGCACAAGGGAAGAAGAGGAGCTAGAGTCTCTTTCTCATTCAGGGCTCGAGGGCAGAAAAGACAGACACAGAAACACATACTAACTGCTCTACCTGGCCCAAGAGAGGTTTGAACTTGGCACCTCCCCCTACAGCTGCCCCTCGGTCCAGCCTGAAGGTCATCAATCTGGCTCCCATAACAGACCAAATCCCCCTTCCCACCTGCGGCTCTGGTTCAAGTCCTTTCTCTAAATCCTCCAGCACAGTCACAGCCTCCTCTCCACTCTTAGGGTGATGTCCCCGCACCCAGGATTGGAGCTCCTCAGGCAGGATGGTCAAGAATTGTTCCAGCACCAGGAACTCCAGGATCTGCTCCTTCGTGTGTTTCTCTGGCCTCAGCCACTCACAGCAGAGTACTCGTAGTTGGCTCAAGGCCTCCCGGGGACCAGGAGTCTCCTGGTAGCGGAGATGCCTGAAGCGTTGGCGGAAGATCTCTTGACTGGTAGAGTGGTTCCCAGGTAGCCTGGTCTCATACTCACAAGACTGTTCCTCTTCCTTTGGTCCCATCATCATCATCTTCTCTTGTCCCTGTGTACCCTGAAGGGCCAGAGTTTCAGCTGCTGTTAGTGATACAGCCATCCTAGTCTGCACTAGCTCTGCAGAAGGCTCATACCAGCTGGAATCTTGCAAGGGCCCCCTGTAACATAAGAAGAAATCATTCCTCTTTTTTTTTTTTAAGACAGAGTCTTTCTCTGTTACCCAGGCTGGAGTGCAGTGACATGATCTCAGCTCACTGCAACCTCCACCCCCGGGGTTCTAGCGATTCTCCTACCTCAGCCTCCCAAGTAGCTGGGATTACAGGCGCCTGCCACCACATCCAGCTAATTTTTTTGTATTTTTAGTAGGGACGGGGTTTTGCCATATTGGCCAGGCTGGTCTTGAACTCCTGACCTCAGGTGACCCACCCACCTCGGCCTCCCAAAGTGGTAGGATTACAGGCATGAGCCACCGCGCCCGTCCTCCTCTTCTTTTTTCATTCATTAAACATATACATATACTCAACACTCCAAAGAGCCAAACCCTGTCCTATGCCCTGTAGTCCCGCTTTTTCTTCCACCCCTCCCCAGAATTCTGCTGCACTAAGTCAATGTTTTTGAGAAACTTGCACCGTGGTAGAAACGGGGATGTAAAGTGGTTTTCTATAATACAACTAATTAAATGCCATTGACAGGAAAAATGTATCAAGAAAAAAAAAGTTCTGGGGGCCTATGGGAAGAAATGACTATTGGAAGAAATAAGTTTGAAGCAAAACCCAAGTTTCCAGATGCAGAGCCCAGAGCCGAGCAGCTTTCAGTGCAAGGTGGAATGTGTTGGGGAGGCAGCCTCCTCTGAGATGGCTCCTCCCTGCTTTCAAAAATTTCTGAAGTAGTAGCTACAGCAAAAGAAAAATATAAGTCCCCTTTAAGGAGCTGGATCTCATTCAAATGCCAAAGCCCTATTAAGGGGCAGCTATGAACAAGTCTCGGGTACAGTGGCCTGCGTCAAGGAAATCTAACAGGTGTAAACCAAAAAAGCATCTGAGATAGGTCTCAACCAATTTAGGGGTTATTTTGCTAAGGTTGAGGATGCACCCAGGAAAAAGACACACAAGCCACAGTAGGATCCGTGGCTCGCACTTTTACCAAAGAGGGTTTTGAGGGCTTCAATTTAATGGGGAGAAAGCTGGCAGGAGGGGAAGGAGGAGAGAAGAGGGAGGGTATGTGGTGAGGTAAGTGGCCACATTCTTGTGAGGATTTGATTAGAGCTCACTGAATCCACATGTTGCACGTGAAAAGAGGAAGTCAATTATGAATTTGTCTCGTGCTCAGTAAATCTGCATTTTACACAAGATAAGGTAGACATACAGTAGAGGAAGAAGTCAAATATGCTTTGTCTCTGGGTGGGTGGAGGAACGATTTCTAGTCTTGTCCGGTGAAGCTCGGCTGTTCGTTTCCATTGCCAGGGTGAGGGAGGCCACCTGGGGGCATATGTTGCTTTCTATCTTGCAGCTATCGGTTTAGGAACAAAAGGAAAAGCAGTTTTTTTCCGTGACTCAGTTTCCAAGCTTAACTTTTCCCTTTGTCATAGTAAGTTTGGGGTCCTGAGATTTTATTTTCCTTTCACACAGGGAAGGAGGTGGAACGCATCAGAGGCCACGAAAGGAGCACAAAGGGGGACCGCTGGCCTAAGACAAAGGAGGCGCGAGGAAAAACGCGGAGCTCGCGTCTCCCAGGGTGATGCCCGGCGCCGCTGGCCCCAGCAAAACTTCTCTACCCCGGCCTCGGGCAGGTGCCCGCCCGGGGAGGGGGCTGTCGTCCAGGCCAGGTACAACTCCCCTTCCCACCCTTCACTCCCTACCCAAGGGTCTCGAGAAAAGAGAAGAGGAACATCAAGACCCCCCTCCACGGCACGTGACGCGACGCAACGCAGGTAGCGCAGCGCGGGCACCACGGGCAACCCAAACCCCTCTCCACACACAACCGCGGAGCTGCCTGCCAGGCCTGCTCACTGCAGAGCCGCCGCTGCCTGCGGGACGGGCAAAAGCCAAGCCGCCAGGTGGACCTCGGGGAAGCCGCCGCCAACACTCACCTCACAGGACCAGGAGGTTCCATCGGGGCGCTGCCGCGAATCGCGCCACTTACAGCCCTCACCCCAGGGGCAGGTTTGCGCCTGCGCAGGTCGCAGCCTCGGCCTCCAACTCCCAGAATCCTCCTCGCCGCCGGCTTCCGTTCGCGGACTTTGGCCCAGGCGCGTGGGCGCTGCCGAGAGGCTGGGAGCCCGGGAACCGGTTCCTGGACTTGAGCGGAGCGAGAAAGAGCGCGCCGCCTGCACGACTGGACTGGAGCGGCCGGGTGCCCTGGAGGCCCCTGGGAATTGCAGTCCTTGCGCAGGTGGAGAGTGAGCCCTTGTAAGCGGGTGACTTCATCAAGTTTGGGGGGTCTCTTGTGGAATTGTACCTGAAGGGCGGTGCTGGCGGACAGATGTCAGGGAAATTCTGGCCTTGTCCATGGCCTGTGGTAACACTTCTCCATGAGTTCTATTTTCCAATTACCTCTTCCCAGACCTGATGAGAGGGCCACAGCTAAGGAAGACGGTCCCTTCCACGAAAAAATATTCCCCAACCACTAGCCTGTACAATTCCTGGGGCGTAGGGGGAGGGGAGGAGAAAAAAGAATTCTAAGGTTAATTTTATTGCGATGGGGGAAATAGGGGTTGGTGTTTTTTTGTTGTTGTTATTTTTTATTTTATTTATTTATTTGAGACGGAGTCTTGCTCTGTCGCCCAGGCTGGAGTGCAGTGGCGCGATCTTGGCTCACTGCAAGCTCCGCCTCCCGGGTTCACGCCATTCTCCTGCCTCAGCCTCCTGAGTAGCTGGGACTAGAGGCGCCCGCCACCACGCCCGGCTAATTTTTTTTTTTTGGTAGGAGACACGGCGTTTCACCATATTAGCCAGGATGGTCTCGATCTCCTGACCTCGTGATCCGCCCGTCTCGGCCTCCCAAAGTGCTGGGTTTACAGGCGCCCGGCCGATTATTTTTTATTTTTTTTTTGAGACATGGTGGCCAACATGGTGAAACCCTGTCTCTATTAAAAATACAAAAAGGTTAGCTGGGCGTGGTGGCGGGCGCCTGTAGTCCCCACTACTCAGGAGGCAGGAGAATCGTTTGAACCCGGGAGGCAGAGGTTGCAATAAGCTGAGATTGTGCCACTGCACTCTAGCCTGGGCGACAGAGTGAGACTCCGTCTCAAAAAAAAAATTAATTAAAAATAAATTTATCTCACTATCAATTTTGCAGGATATTGATTGATCCAGTCTCTCAATACTTTTATAAAATAGCTTAATCCTAGTCTCTCCAAGAAAAATTGTTGTTCAACTGTGTAGTACCATAGTAACAGTTCTCAGATTCTCAGATTATTAAATTTGTTTCTCCAAGATATAGTATCCTTGAAAATGCGCATTGACACCCCCATGGCTGGGGGATATATTATCTTTTTTCCTTCAAAGTGCCATTGATAATTACTGCACGTAGGAGCTATGGATAAAAATAGTTATCATTTGTTGAATGTCTACTACGTGTCTAGAACTATGCCAGGAACTTAATGAAATTGTCTTATTTAGTCTTCACAGTTGCTCCACAAGGGATTGTATTAATGTCATTATCTTGATTTTACAGATGAGAAAACTCAAGACTCAGAAACAATAAAGGTTACAGAGATGAAATTGACAGAGCCTGAATTTCAGTATGTCAAACTTCAATGTGCCATTATACTTTTAAATCCTACAGAACAGATTGAATCACAACTTCTACTTTTACATGAGAGAAGACAATGGGTCCTATGACTTACTGTCAGTTTCCTTTTCCTGATTTAATTAGCTGCTTCTGTATCTAATTTTGCTAGGAATGGAGGAATAAGGCAAATTCCCTAAACTACATATTGACATTTATACTAATGTGAAAACCTCAAGTCCATTTGCAGACTTTTGGATTAGATTCTGTCCCAGAAAGACATCCACCCTAGAGTTCAGGATATCATACCCATTTTACTGTTCCCCTGGCACAATTCATAGTAAGGAAAAACAGACAAGGGGAAAGCTATTAGATTCTCGGTGCTGCTAAACAGGACACACAAGGACACCATTTTGTGATGATGATGGTGCTTTATGCAGCTTCCACCATTTACAAGATTTTCCTGTGGTGTGGAACCTCTCATGATAAAGCAAAGGAACTAGAAGCTTATTCCAGTCAAGATTTCTGATTTATCTTGTGGTAAGCATTTGGGAAGGACATATCTGCACATGACCTGAGACTAAGTACTATACACTGAATCAGATGAAAATTGCTCTTAGGAAGCTTACAATTTTCCAAATAGTTAGGACAAAAACAAACTCTCCTTCTCTCTTCCTATATGTACATACTGACATCTTTATCATTACTGTCTTCCTAGGGTTATGATTCTGTATGGTTTCTTTGGTGCTGCATTAGACCTGAGCTCTGATTGAAAATTCTTCCACGCTCGCTACATTCCAAAACTTTATCTCCAATATGAATTTCCAGATGCCTCACAAGGTCTGAGCTCCATCTGAAGGCTTTCCCATGCTTGTCACATTCATAGGGCTTTTCTCCACTATGAATTCTATGATGTCGAATAAAGTGTGAGCTCTGATTACAAGTCTTTGAACATTCATTGCATTCACAAAGTTTCTTTCCACTGTGAATTCTTTGATGCTGAATAAGTTGTGAGCTCCCCTTCAAATCTTTCCCACACCCAATGCATTTATAAGGCCTCTCTCTCACCTTGTATGGATTCTCTGATGTTCTGTAAGGACTGAGTTCTGGCCAGGCGCAGTGGCTCACGCCTGTAATCCCAGCACTTTGGGAAACCGAGGCGGGTGGATCAGCTGGGCTCAGGAGTTCGAGACCAGCCTGGCCAGCATGGTGAAAGCCCCTCTCTACTAAAAATACAAAAATTAGCCGGGTGTGGTGGTGGGTGCCTGTAATCCCAGCTAATTGGGAGGCTGGGGCTGGAGAATTACTTGAACCTGGGAGGTGGAGGTTGCAGTGAGCCGAGATCGGGCCACTGCACTCCAGCCTGGCAGCAGTGTGAGACTCCGTCCCAAAAAATAACAAACAAACAAAAAAGACACCAGAGGGCTTTGGGTCCCTCTCTCTCTGCCATGTGAGGACCCTGTGAGAAGGCAGCCAGGGAGCTCTCACCAGAACCTGACCATGTTGGGCCCTGGTCACAGCCTTGCAGCCTCCAAAACTGAGAAAATAAATTTCTGTTGTCTGGCATCCAGTCTATGGTATTTTGTTACGGCAGCCCGAGCTAAGACAGAGGAAAACTGGGGGCTGATGTGACGGCGGGGACTTTAGGTAGAAGGACCCCACGTCAAAAGTCAAAGCTAAAAATTCTGGAACGAGCCAGGAAGGCATCAGGACGTCTCATTTTATTTGCTAGAGGCATCTTTTGGGGGGTGGGGCGGTGGGTGGGTGGAAGGAGATGTGGCCAGTGAGCCTCTGACTTTTAATTGAGTTATTTCGAAACAAGGAACAGAGGGCCGGATGTGGTGGGTCGTGCCTGTAATTCCAGCACTTTGCGAGGCCGAGGCCAGTGGATCACCTGAGGTCAGGAGTTCAAGACCAGCCTGGCCAACATGGTGAAACCCTCTCTCTACTAAAAATACAAAATTAGCCTGGCGTGGTGGGGGGCGCCTGTAATCCCAGCTACTCGGGAGGCTGAGGCGGGACAACAGCTTTAACCCGGGAGGCGGAGGTTACAGTGAGCCGAGATGGCGCCACTGCACTCCGGCTTGGGCAACAGAGCAAGACTCCGTCTCCAAAAACACACACACACACACACACAAAACCCAAAACGGAACAGAGGCAGTTCTGTATTCCAGAGGGATTGATTTGTGATGCCTGCTCAAAACTCAAGAAGCCACCACCCTGATACTCATCAAACCCCGGAGAAATTTCGTTTTTAGAGTGTCAGAAGGCCCCATGAATAACCTTCCAGTCACTGAGGGAGGTCCCTACTCAGCACGCCCCGGTCTCCTTCACTCTCCTGCACTCGTGCCTCACAGATGGCCTCATGCGCGGACTGGCGGTCCAGCCTCCCGGGGACACAGCCCGGGCGCACCCCGCGCCGCCTTTGGCCACTGAGGCGGTCCTCGAGGCGCCGGGCTAGGGAAAGCCTCCCCGGCCGTCAAGGCTGGGATAGCGCCGGGGGATCGGGGCGGGGTGCGTGCGCCGAAAGGGCCTCAAAGCTGTAGGGCTGGACGGCACAAAGGGGCGCAAGGCACGGAGGCCAGGCAGAGGGGACAGCTAGCGGCGCGGCGGGACGGGCGGGCCCCGACGCCCAGCTCCAAATGCGTGGCCGCTGTGGGAGCTCGTCTCCAGGCGCCCATCAGTCTTCCCCTCACTCGACGCTACCTTGGCGGCCGCGCCCATGCTGTCCCCGCTCCAACTAGCAGTCAGGAGGGGCCGCGGGCAGCGCTCGAGACGCTCATTGAGAGGACTTCCCGCCTGCGGGCTCTCTGCTCGACGCCACTCCCGGCCCCGCTCCGGGCGGCCCCCCTCACCACTCCCGGCCCCGCTCCCGGCGGCCCGCCTCACCACTCCCGGCTTCCCGGGGCTTAGGCCCGCACCATCGAGTCGAACCGAGTCCTCATGTTTTCCTAGACAAGCCGCTGGGGGAGAGGGGAAACACTTCTGGCCCATGTGAGCCGCCGTCTCGTGTGGTGTCTGAGGGGCGTCTACCTGGAGTCACTGAGCCGACGAAAGGGAAAAGGCCAGTGCCTGTCCGGGAAGAGCTCAGCCTAGTGGGGCGGGCGACAAGTTACAGTTGCTGCCTTACGATGGCCGTGGCCCGTGGAGGCACTAGACCCTCACCAGGGGTCTGTCAGGAAAGGCGGGCAGATACGTGAGGCCTGAACAGGAAGGAACTGGGAGACCCAAGACTGTACCGCCAAGACCGCTTTCGAGTCGGGCCGACCGGAATTTGAATTCGTTTCTTCACTTACTAGTTGTGAGTCTTTGGGCAAATTTGCCTTTCTAGAGCGTAGTTTCTTATGTATAAAACAGGGTTAACAGTTGCACTCACTGAGGTAAATACAAGAGAAAATTGATGGTAAGTGCTTATCACGGTACCCAACACATAGCAAGTACTGAAAAGTGATGGAGCTAGGTACGGAGGGAGCAATCTTCACAGAGGGAACAGCTCGTGGAAAGGCCACAGGGCAAGAGGGCGGTGCCTACATTCTTGGGGAACTGCAGAGAGTTCATGGGTAAATAATAGGAAGGAAAGGTAAGTACTTTGCAGAAAGCCTTCCCCAGCTAGGTGAGACTCCCCACTGTAGTATCATATGCCTCTCCTTTTTGGCACTTATGGTTGCAACTTTATTAATGATTCTAATTAGTTTCTCTTCTACAATTATAAGTTCCATCAGGCCAGAGACTTGTCCATTTATGCTCACCCTGCTTTGTAGCACCCGCTGCTTAACACATATTAAAAGCTCGATAAGCCTGGGCGAGGGGGCTCAAGCCTCTAATCCCAGCACTTTGGGAGGCCGAGGCGGGTGGATCATGAGGTCAGGAGTTTGAGACCAGCCTGACCAACATGGTGAAACCCCCTCTCTACAAAAAATACAAAAATTAGCCGGGTGTGGAGGCACACACCTGTAATCCCAGCTACTCAGGAGGCTGAGGCAGGAGAATCACTTGAACCCGGGAGGCAAAGGTTGCAGTGAGCTGAGATTGCACCACTGCACTCCAGCCTGGGCGACAGAGCGAGACTCCGTCTCAAAAAAAAAAAAAAAAAGCTCAATAAATATTTACAGCACAAGTGAATAAATGGGGTCGCATCAGAATATATATGTCACAATAAGGACTTTGGACTTCAGGCTGAAGTTAGTGGGAAATCACTGTGGAAATTTAGAGAGGGGGATGGCACTATCAGATTTGTTCTGAAGGAAGAACATTCCAGCTGCCCTGTAGAGAAGCGTTGGAATCAGGGAGGCATGTTAGGAGGCTGCGATAATAGTACAAGCAAGAGATGATGGTGGCCTCACTCTAAGGGCATTAAAAATCAAGACAAGTGAGGCCGGGTGGGGTGGCTCACACCTGTAATCCCAGGACTTTGGGAGGCCAAGGCAGGCAGATCACCAGGAGTTTAAGACCAGGCTGGCTAACATGGTGTTAGCTGGGTGTACTGGCATGCACCTGTAATCCCAGCTCCTCCCAGCTCCTCAGGAGGCTGAGGCAGGAGAATCACTTGAACCTGGGAGGCGGAGATTGAAGTGGGCCGAGATCATGCCACTGCACTCTAGCCTGGGCAACAGAGTGGGACTCCGTCTCAAAAAAAAAAAAAAAATCAAGACAAGTGGACTATATTGGCAGATTACTGGCTAGCATTCACTTATTCTACCATAGTCATGTGCTCTCTCCCTCAGGGATGGTAGTGACAGTCTTATTTCCTATTGATACAGGATTTTTTTCCTTGATTCCTTCGTGGGACTCAAGACAGGGGTGCCCTGTTTACTCAGCCCACTGTGCTCAACCTCTTGCAGGAGTGTGCAGGTGAGTGAGCAAGTGCAGGATCTGGCTGGCCACTACAGGCACCAGCATGAGCAAGCTCTTTGCGGAGCCTGTGACCAGACCAGGCATGAGCAAACGACTGCAGGATCTAGCTGGCTGCTCTGGGCAGCTGCAGGAGCAAGCTCCATTTGGGGTCTGCGGTGCTGCCCAAGTGGGGGTGCCTGTGATCCCAAATCCCCAGAGGGAGTGTTACAGTGCTCTCTTAGCGCCACTGTTTGAGGATGGGTATGTGTTAACAGCTCAGCTGGCCCCTAGCCCCATTGCGTGGGGTGGCTACCTGCCACTGGTGAGGGCAAAGGGTGAGTGTGACAGCCTTTTGGGTAGCCAAACTTGGTGGGTCCCAAGCTCTTGTCTGGCATCCAAAAAGAATGAGGTTGTGTGGAGCACTTGAAGGATGGTGAAGGTGGAGAATTTTACAGAGTGATCACAGTGGCTCTCAGCGGAGAGGGGAGCTAGAGAGGGGGTAGAAAGGGCAGGTCATCTTCTCCCCAAAGTCTGGCCATTTCTTCCCGAAAGTCTGGCCATCTCTCTCATCTACTGACTGAGTCTGGGGTCTTTATAGGCACAGGATGAGGGTGGGGCAGCCATAGGTATTTTTGGAAAAGGCAACATTTGATTGGTAAGAAGACATTATTCAGAAAGAACCAATCGGGAGGGAGTAAGCAAACAGGAATAGAAGTTCTCACTTTGGGCTGTGGGTTTCAGGCTTTTCGGCTCAAAGATGGGGTTTCACTGGGGGCCTGCCACATCTGCTTAGAATTTCTCAACTTCATGTCCTGCCTCTATCACTATCAAGTATTTATATGAAGAAACCTCTCCTAAGCCACACTCCAATCACCCCTCTTCCTCAAAGAGATTATCAGACTCTGACTTTTTCTCAGTTTTGGTCCTCTTGGAGTTTGGTTCTTTAGCTGTTTAAAATCTTATGAAGGCAAACTTTGATCATTTAGGCTCTTTTCTCAAAGTTCCAAAGTAGACTGCTCCCTAACAGGTAGGTTTTATTTTGTGGAATTCAGGTTTACAAATTGGACATTACTACATTAGCTTCTGCTACCTATAAAAGCTTTGAATAGGTGGGCTTTTATTTCATGAATTACCTGATTATCTGAAAATTAACTCTTTTGTCCTTCTTCAGCCCCCACTAAAGTGAGGTCAGCTCAGGGAATGCAGCAGAAATTCACCTGGAAGCAAGCGAGGCTGGGGCCCAGAAACCCCCTGGGCTGGGCCATGCTTCCAGTCCAGTTCCCATCTTTTATGGATGCCTAGCCCTGACCCTCAGAGGACCCTGGGTGAGGCCTGGAGGAGCCCCTCTTCCCAAATAGACTTCATTTGTCCCTTGAGGCTCAGCTCACTGCAGTTAACTAACTAATGAGTAACTCAGTGTAAGAACACACAATGCTAATTATTATAATTAATTATAATAGTGATAGTCATTAAAACAAGGAACTTCTGCCCAGCACTACAAGTGACTCACAGCCATCATCTCAGCTGATAAACAGCTGGGAGAAAGATACTCTTTCTTCCTTTTGACCCGTGAAGAAACTGAAGCTCAGAGAGGTTAAGGGATTTATCTACGGCTGCACAGGGACCCCTCCTTCAGGTCTGTCGGACTTGTATCCACCCCACCTCTCTGCCCCCTCTCCTGCCTCTCCTTTCCAGAAGGTTCTAGGTCCCAGGAACTCCAAGGCTCAACCCAAGGATAGAGATCCAAGGTCCTGCCGGGGCAGTCAGGAGGCCTTACGTGCCCTCTCCTGTGGCTTCCTTCTCAGCCGAGTTCTGTGCTGCTCTAAGCTGGGGAAGCCTACTCCCCAAGAAGCAGGACACCCGGAAGGTGTTTCCCCCTGGCTTTGAGGCTGGTTATACATTGCTTTCCTCCAGCAGATTAACATTTGCTAATGGGGCCTGGCACGGTGACACCAACGTAGGGTTGCTCTCTGCATGCCTGTGCTGTGGGGTTGGTGGTGGGGGCAAGGCAGTGGTGGGGGCAAGGTCAGGGCAGTGAGTGAGGTCGCCTGTGGTCATCCTCCACTGTGCTGGGGGGTTGTTATCTCTCAGGGCTTAGCACTTGTTGGGGATGGGTGAAGTCCAGTCCCGAGTCACAGTGTGTGTTGTGGGAGGTTGCTGATATTCATAGCCCTGTATGTTTGAGTAATGACAATATCCACCTCCACCTTCAGGGTGAGGAGCTGTTGGCCTATCTGTGTCTGTCTGTCTGTCTGTCTGTCATCTGCACCTGTCTCTCCGAGGGAAAGAAGGCAGGCCCCAGGGTCTTTCCCCAGGATGGCCTTGGGTGAGCTCCTGCTGTCCTCTCTGCCCAGGAAATGAAGGCCCTTTGAGGTCAGGTGGATGAGGATGTCAGTGTGAAGATGGACACTGTGCCTGGAGTGAACCTGAGCTGGATCCTGAATGAGATGCATGACCAGGACAAGAAATTGGTGGAGAAGAGCTACAAGGATGCCAAGGGCTGTTTCTTCAGCATGGTGGGTGGCCATATGTAAGCAGGTGTGCACACATGTGGGCACATGTGCTGCATGCTGGTGCAGCTGGAACGCTGGCAGATCCACAGGCTGTCCCAGTTGGAAGGACTTTGGAAACCAGTTGGACCAGCCCCTCATGATTTCGATGTAAAATGTGAGGCTCAGAGAGGACTCAAGCTCACACAGCCCTTCACTGTGGCCTGCAAAATAGATCCAGGTCTCTACAAGTCTGGTCTTGGGTTTCCACCACAGCTGTTTACAGGATGTGTGTATTTGAGTACATACGCATACCCTTGGCAAGCACAGGCTGAGTGTCTCCAGTGTCCTAGGGACAGCAATAGGTGCAAAAGAATAACACCCAGTGCCTGTCTTTGAGGTGCCGCAGTTCGGTAGGGGTAAGAAATGCAAACAACCGCAGAGCAGGCTGAATTCCTCCAAGGTCCAACGTGGGTGCAGAGGGTCTTTGTGTGCAGGTGCCTTTGGGGCCCCATAGAGGCCAGGGAGGGGCTAGGATATGGTTCTCAGCCCCTTTCCTGTGCCCCACTTCTGAAAATCTCCTGAAACCCCTGTGGCCCACTCTGCCTTCCAGAGAGAGGGGCTGAACTGCGAGGTGGCCACCAACACAGAGGCCCTGCAGAGCGGCAGGATAGAGATATGGAGCTCTACATCTCTGTGCAGAACCTGAGCCATCCCAGCTCAGCAAGGTAGGGCCTCTGTCCCCTCCCCACCCTGTACCTATCACCCCAGGGTGAGCCCAGCCTTATAGACCCCTGCTTGGAGGTGTGTTACGGGACCCAACTGGCCCAGCTGCAGGGGCTCATCAGAAGCATGGAGCAGCAGCTGTGCGAGCTCTGCTGCGACGCGGAGCACCAGGACCATGAGCACCAGGTCCTTCTGGACGTGAAGACACGGCTGGAGCAGGAGATCGCCACCTACAGCCGCTTGCTAGAGGTTGAGGACGCTCAGTGAGTGTGCACCCGGGTACCTGCTGGGGCGGGCTGGGGGCCCACTTCACCTAGGAAGAAGTTGGTGTCTGAGCACCAGTGAAGTTCAGGAGGTGTGAATGTGGGAACCTGTGGGGGTTTGCAGGAGGTGAAACTGACAATGCAGGCTGGAGTCTGATTGAGGAGCCTTGAATGCCAAGTTAAAGCGTCTGGATTAGATCACGTAGGCAATGGGGAGCCATGGAGGGATTTGGAGCTGAAGAGGGGAATGAACATCAAGATATTTTAGAACATTCACTCTGGCTGCAGAGGGAGAAATGGATCAGAGGGGTCAGGGTGGGGCCAGAGAGATGTGTCAGGGGGCTGGAGCAGGGAGTGTGGCCAGAGAAGTCCTGCGGGGTGGAGGGTGGGTCGGTGGGGTGGCAGGGGAAGGAAGGTGGTGCACGCAGAAGAGAGGTTATAGCTCAAAACAGCAGGACTGGATGCCTGGATCTCAGGGTAAGCGTGACTCACAGTCAGGACTCAGTAAGTGTGGGGTGAACACATGAAGGAGTGGGCATTGATGGCCCTGGATTTCTGGTTCCGATGACTGTGTGAGTGGTGACACCATCAGCCACAGGGTGAAGAGCAAGGTGGGTGGTGGTCGGGTTTGCAGGTGGGAAGGGTGATCAGGCCTTCAGCTGGCAGTATCCTGGAGTCTCCATGCTTAGTCACACGTTGCAGCTTTTTGCTCCCCGAAAAGGTTTTTCCATCAAGGTTTTTCCAAAGGACAAGCGGCCCGGCGGTCCTCTTAGTTCCTTGGCCCGCGTGCCACCCGGGAGGCCGAACCGGCCCCAGCCCTGGGCCCCCTCCCCAGCCCAACCCAGCCCCGACCCTCCGCTGCGGGGCCCTCCCGGAACGGCCGGCTGCAACGCGTGTCTCCCCTGGACACAGCTCCGCCCTTCCCGGGAACAAAAGCAGCTGCCCGCGCCTAAGCTCCCACCCGGAGCCCAGCCCCGGAAATGGGACACCCGCAGCGGGTATCCCCAAACTTCCCACCTCTCAGGTCCGGTAGGGCGAGGGGTCGGGGCCGGTGGGTAGGGCGCGGAGAGCGCACTGAGCTCTTAGAGGTCTGTGGCCCCGCGGCGGGGGGTTATGCCAAGGAAGAACGCGACGACGCGAGGGGGAGGGACCGAGAGCACCCCGAAGCCGGGGACCGCCAAGCCGGAGCCAGTGGAGGGGGCGAAGTCGGCGAGTTGGAAACTTACTGCAATCGTCCTCTCGTAGCCTTGGGCGTCCGGCTCGTCTTCTGGCAGCTTGGTGGGCGGCTGCGCAGGGCTGGACCTGGGCTGGATCCTTAGGCTCCGAAGAGATGGGCCCCATCCTTGTCGTCGTCGCGGGCGCCGTCAGAGGGGCGGCGGCAGCGGCCGGCGCTGGCAGTGGCTGGGCGCGCGGGGGCGTCATGGGGCAGGTCCCGCGGGAAGTGGGGGAAGTAGCCAGAGATCTACTGGATGGGGCGGGTGGGGCTGGGGCACACGTCGGTGGCCACATGCTCCTGGATACAAATGGTCGCCTTTTCCCCGCACCGCCGGTGGGGGGGTGGTAGAGGCAGCGCCTCCCCGCCCGGGCACGGCCTGGCCCGGAGTGACCCCGGCCCGGGGGCGGCTCAGCAGGCCCGGCGTGGCGTGGCGTGGCGCGGCGGGGCCTCCGTGAAGGCCAGCGCCAGTGAGTGCCAGGGGCGGGCAGGCAGGGGGCCGGCCCAGCCCGCGTCACCCGGCAGCAAACACGCAGGGTGAGTGTGCGGGCTGCCCAGGCAGTGCAGAGCGGAGAGAGCTGCGTGGGGCCACACTCACTCGCACTCACACCGGGGGGGCACGCCGGCCTGGGACCCCGTGTGCGCACTCCCTGGGGACAAGCGGGGAGCCAGCAGGACAGGGACCCGCAGAACGCATACTCACACGTTCCTGCAGGTGCCAGCACATGCTGGGCTTCGTTCGCTCTCACGGGACACACGCAGGTGTGCAAGGACAATGCAAGTGCACGCACACGTGTGCAGACACGTAGTGGAAGCATCCACTGGCTCACACCTGTAGGACACACACACACACACAAACATGCACACATACAGAGTTGGTTGAGGATGCTGTTAACACCGTACACCCCCTAATGCATGCTCGCGCGCAAGCACGCACGTGCGCACACACACACACGCACACACACACACACACACGTGATCAAGGGCACCCAGGGCAGAATCTTCCATACCCCTAACAAGGACCCCTAACAAGACGCACAAACACGCACCCATAGAAGTAATCAGGGGACCCTACCAGGACACGGAGTCACACTCCTAGGCATGTGTGGACAGGCTGCCTACCCACGGGCAGGACATGGACATGCTCAACTATACGAGGACACTGCAGGCACAGTCTGTGCACACATACTCTCAGGTCACATAAACACAGCACTCTGTAACCTCGAGTCAGTCCCTCACTTGGTCAGTGAGTGGGCTGAAGCACCCACTGGGACAGGGTGGCTGAGAACCAGGACAGGGCCTGGGAAGTGAGTGATGCAATGAGGTTGGGCGGTACCACCCCCCACCCAACCACCCAGTCCAGGCTTCCCACATAATCGGGTCACTAAACAAATCCCAGAGGGCCCAGCCCCAGCTGTTGCCTGGCTTTCCAGAAACAGAACTCGGTTGGGAATGGCAGCTGCTTGGACAGGTCTGTCCCCAGAAAGCCCTGGGCATGGATGGATTCCTGTCTACCCTCTGGTTTCCACTGACACATTTATCTACCAACATTTTGTCCAAGTCTCCTCTTCTGAGCCCTCACCAGAATCACCCTTAATGAAGAGTCACAGGGAGAAGACGTCCACCCACACATCAGGAGACAGGCCTGGAACAGAGCCTTCCTGCACAGCCTCAGAAGGGACCCACCCTGGTGACACCTTGATCTTGGACTGACACTCATGACCTCCAGTACTGTGAGACAGTAACATTCTGTTGTTGAAGGTGCCCAGTCTGTGGTACTGTAAAACAGCCCTGGGAAACTAACGCAGCCTGTTAGCCCACAGATGGTGAAGGGATGGAATGCTCCACGGAGCTCCAGGCTTACTATCTACAGCCCCCAAAGTGTGCTGCGGGACCCTTGGGTGGGTGTAGGTATGCAAGGTAATTTTGGGTGGTTCAAGGTGAATAATTTCAATTGACATAATAATGTATTTATCTTGCTGGGTAAATGAGGGATACCCAACTGTTAGGAACCAGGCAACACAGCAGGAGGTGAGCAGCCAGCCAGTGAGCAAAGCTTCATCTGTAGAAACAGCCACTTCCCATCCCTCGCATTACCGCATGAGCTCTGCCTCCTGTCAGATGAGCGGTGCCGTTAGATTCTCACAGAAGCATGAACCCTACTGTGAACTGCGCATGCCAGGGATCTAGATTGCGTGCTCCTTATGAGAACCTAATGCCTGATGATCTGTGACTGTCTCATCACTGCCAGATGGAACCACGTAGTTGCAGGAAAACAAGTTCAGGGCTCCCACTGATTCTACATTATGGTGAGTTGTGTAATTATTTCATTATATATTACAGTAAAATAATAATAGAAATAAAGCACACAATAAATGTAATGGGCTTGAATCATCTCCATATCATCCCTTCCCCTTCTCCCGGGTCCGTGGAAGAGTTGTCTTCAAGAAAACTGGTCTCGGGTAGCAAAAAGGTTGGGAACCACTGGTGTAAATGCTTTAAGGAATAGTTAAGCAGCTTAAAGTTTACATGCTACAAAAAATACAGGTTTAAATGCTAATAAAAATGGGTGCAAATGAAAACACTCTCTTGCTGTGGTCCAAGGAATCTTAGGCATTCTATCAGAAAGACTTACAGCTTGGAGTTGCAGCTGCCCTCCCACATCCTGTCCACTGTAACCCTTGCAACACACAAACACGCACACACACGCACATGCACACACACACACACACACACACACACACACACACACACACACACTGTGTTTCATGCCCTCACTAGGGTGGCCTGGGAGGGAATGCGTGGGTTTTTTTTGTTTTTTGTTTTTTTGAGATGGAATTTCACTCTTGTTGCCTAGGCTGGAGTGCAATGGCGCAATCTCGGCTCTCTGCAACTTCCGCCTCCTGGGTTCAAGCAATTCTCCTGCCTCAGCCTCCCGAGTAGCTGGGACTACAGGCATGTGCCACCATGCCTGGGTAATTCTGTATTTTTAGTAGGGATGGGGTTTCTCCATGTTGGTCAGGCTGGTCTCGAACTCCCGATCTCAGGTGATCCGCCCGCCTCAGCCTTCTAAAGTGCTGGGATTACAGGCGTGAGTCACCGCGCCCAGCCGGGAATGCATGCTTTTAGGAGAAACGAAGACAACTCAGGACCCTCATTCTCCTGGTGTTTGCGCAAGTGCCTTCTCCGTAGACCATGCTTCAGTCTCTTTCTTAGTTCTCCTTCTTACTGAAAGAGAGAAGCAGAGCCCCAGCATGTACCCAGCTGCTTAGGGCCCAAGCCAAGTGCGCAAGTTTCCTGGGGAGCCTAGTGAGTGGAAGGCACTGCAGATCCTCCCCAAAAGAGGCGTCGGTTTTTTATGGATCCTTGAGCCCAGGAAGGCAATAGACAAGACATCACGGTTCACCAGAAGAGACAACAAAAATGTAGTGAGGAAGGGCTGTAGTCAAAGGTTTTATGCTCCATGAGAAGGGATTCTCAGGGCTCTAAGCAGCAGGCAGAAGACTTTATTGTATGTGTGGTTAGGTGACGGTGACCTACAGTTTTCACTGGGAACTGGGATCAAGAGTAACTCGACCTCCTACTCATGCACGTCTCTCTCTGTCTCTTTGCGTTTTGTGTCTCTCTCCCCATCTCTCGCCCTCCTTATCCTCTCAGCCTCCTCTGTCTCTCTCCCAATTTCTCTTCCTCTCTCTCATTCCCTTCTCCTCATCTCTCTTTCTCTCTCCTTTTCCAGTTCTCTCTCTCTCCTCATCTCGCTTCATGCCACTGTTCAGGCTCCTGGGGCTCCACGTGGACGGCTGGACACAGGACTCCTAGGCTAATTTTCACGGCACAAGCACAGGGCTGCAGGACCTTGGTCCCCCACCTCCCAGCACCCTCAAAGTGAGAGGTGTGGGGTGTGCCCATGCTCTCCTGGGTGGGCGCCCCACGCTCCAGGAAGCAGAAACTGCAGGACAAAGCTGGCGCAAGTGACATGCCCACGTGGCTGCCAGCTTCCATCTTGGGATCTGCTAAGGCCAAAGCAGAGGACACCTGCCCACGACTGACCCCGCACCAGGGTGGGGGGAGGGGTGGGTTTGGGGTGGGAATGGGGATGGGAGCCGCCACTGCAAAGCAGTCCCTGGCTGGCTTCCTGCCCTGCACCCAGTCATGCAAGGCCTCCCGTCCCACCCCTGCCCCTCATCACCTCCACCCCTAGGCTGTCCAGATCCAGGCTCCAGAAGTCTCCCAGGATCCAAGAACTAAGGGCAACCACTGGGCTCCGCCGCCCCTAGTCCATGAGTCAGCCACCCCTCTGCAGGCTGACAAACCTTGGCTGTCACTTATCTTCCGCCCCAAACCAGCCCCAGCCCCATCCTGCTGCAGGTCTGTGTGGCTGCTGGAGAGGCTGGGCTCCTTTCCTCACCCCGAGGCTGCCTAATATGCTTTCTGGATCCTGGAGAAAACTGACCCACTATTCTCATACTGGTGCAACTTCTTCCAAGACCTCAAAACTGGACAACGTGAACTTGTCTTGTTTCTTGTCTCTTCTTGCTAGGGCTGTCATTGGGACAGTCTGAGATGGGGAGTCGGGGGAGACAATGGATGAATGGATGGATGAATGGACAGCAGTCCAGGGAGATGTCCCTGTGTGTCCTGAACTGGGCCCTTCCTCCAGTGAGAAGCCTTCCTGAGTGAGTTTATATAGTCATCCCTTGGTATCCATGGAGGATTAGTTCTAGGGTCCCCGGGGATGCCAAAATCCATGGATGCTCAAGTCGCTGACATAACATGACCTAGTATTTACATATAAGCTATGCACATTCTCCCGTATACATTAGACCATCTCTAGATTATTCATTATGTGTAATACAATGCAGATGCTATATAAATGGTTGTGATACTGTATTTAGGGAATGATGACAAGAACAACGTCTGCACATGTTCAGTAGAGACAACCATCCGATTTGTTTTCTGAATATTTTCCATCTGCTGTTGGCTGAATCCACAGTTGCAGAGCTCCCAGATACGAGGGCCAAGTGCTTTGAGAGTAGGGTGGGTGAGGTTGCTAATGAGTACAGGGGAGCAGGTGTTGATCAGGGGGACCCTGCACTGGGCATCTGGACGCCCTGTCTCAGGACTTGAGACTCCGTTTGGATGGCACAGGCAGACTAAGCCCAGGTCAAAGCCCTCCCCTTGGATGTTCATTTTATCCCAAGCTCTTTCTGGACCCTGGAATTTGGCATCCCCTAGGCCCTGGGTGGGACAGCTGAGCCAGGTTTTAGATAACATGTCTAGAAAAGTGGGCCCCTACTGTGTGCCTGGCACTTTCCGCACATGATCCTCTAGCTAGAATATCCAAGGGTCATGGAGAGAAATACCCAGTTAAAATATCAGAAATGAAAAAGTGATACCATTAGAGACACTAAAAAGACGATTAGAGATACTAAAAATACCATTAAGTAATAGTATTAGCTTTTGTATTCTGAGATTCAACAGCAGCAGTCACTTCCCTCCACTCCTATGTGTATCCCAGGACCACCCTGGGCGGGGAGGGCTGAGGTCAGGGAGGTCTGAAGCTGGTCCTGGGCTCCGGGGGTGACAGTGATGAGGAACTGGGTGCACACATGAGTGGGGCAGCCGGGCCTGGCCAGAGAAGCAACACACACGTGCACAGACATGTTTATCCACATACACATGTGCACGCATGTGCACAAACACATTGCAGGCAGGCATGTTGACGCCTCAGGCAGCGGAGGACCCTGACTCTGGGCCCTGCTGACCCAGGCAAGGCCCCATTGTGATGCGTGCCATGACCTCAGAATGTCACTGGTGCTTAGCACCTATCCGCTCTCCAGACTGCGTCTGTGTTCTACGGCAGTTACACACACGCAGTGGTATTCACAAGCGGTTTTGTGGACTCAAAGGTTTTCTCCCTGAGAGGCATAACCCAGGCCAGCTGATTCATCAGAATCAGGTGAGTGTGACCTGCTCTCTTCCCTCCAGGCTGACTTGGGGACAGTGGCTATGGTATGGGCGGTGTTGGCCTCTGGGCAGCTACAGAGGAGGGTCATCCCTGAGCACTCACCGGGCGCCCGTTCTACACTGCCCATGTAGACGATTTTCTCTTTCGTCTTCATGGTGGCTTCGTAGAGTGGGTGCTGTTCCCGAATGTACCCATTCGACAGGTGAGCCGTCTGGGGTCAGAGAGGCAGTAACTGGCCTGGGAATCCAGACAAGACCCTGGGTTTTGCTCTCAGCCCTGCTGTGTGCCATGCTAGACTTCAGGCCTCAACCCTGAGACCTCCCTGCTCTAGATCCCAAATCTGCCCAGATTTCCGATCCCAATGGGGCAGAGCCTGGCCCTGGCAGAGACACTGGGATGGATCCACTGTGGGTGGGGAGGAGGGAAGGGTCCTCAGAACACACCTGGGGCCTAAGCTGGGTCTTGATGGTCACTGTGGGACCCACTGGACACACACAGTCCCTTGTCTGGGAGTGGCATGGGGAGCCTTCTGCCCTTGGGCAGTTGTGGAAAGTGAAGGAGCCCTGGAGAGCTGGCTGAGGGGAGACTATCTTCCCTTGTGTTCAAAGGGGTCCAGGCACTGGGGCTCTCCCCAAGTATTTCTTATTCTGTCTGGCCTCGCTTTCCTTTTGCCCTGAGTATTCTCAGGAGGGACGGTCCATCTAGATGTCCTCCAGGAGCAAGGACCCACTGTTCTTCATCAGTGACCCAGGAAAATGAAGCCCCCTCCTGTGGGGACAGCTCAGAATGGTGGAGTCCACAGTCCCTCCCTGAGAGACATGGTTTCCATGAGCACAGTGGCTGCTTTGGAGACAGTAATCATTTTCATCCCCAAAACCAAACACACTCCTGCTCAAATGGTGTTATTGCTAAAGCAGCTTCACTGGTTAGACTGAAGGGCCATGGTAGCCCAAGTGATGAGCGGGGTAGAATGGAGCAGTCAGGAGAGATCTTGTTCCCCGTAGGAAACTGGGCATCTCTGTGGCCCTGAACATCCCAGGAGGCCGATCGTACAGAGACCTCTGGTGCCTGACCGCAGTTCACATCCACATCCCTGGAATAGACCATCACAGGCTCTTCACCCTTGGCAGGTGGACACCATTCAACCTGCCGGGGCAGGTGTGTGCCCATTTCATGGCATATGGGGACAACCGGATTCTCTGTCCAGGTCCCACTCTTCTCGAGTCCTTGGGAAGATGCCCACCCCTGCTTGGGGCTTCAGACTGCAGAGACCCATGGAGGTGTGGGCCATGGGGTTTGGCCCCTTTTTACCGGAGTGCAGTGGTGGAATGAAGGTTATACAACCAGCCAGCATCTGGGAGCCCGGTGGGAGCGGTTCAGGTGTTCTCCGAAGCTGTCGGGTACAGTGTAACCTTTAGACAATTTTGTCTCACAGGATGGACATGGTAGAGAATGCAGATAGTTTGCAGGCACAGGAGCGGAAGGACATACTTATGAAGTATGACAAGGTACAGTTCGGTCTGCTCCTTGGAGGGAGGCCTCTTCCAGTGCGCCCTGGTCAAAGGGTCCTGGGTTCCCTAGGAGCACAGGGCAGGGACGGGTGGCCAATACCCCCAGGCCCTTGCACCCTTTACCTTGGACCCCTCACCAAGGCTCCCTCTGGGTTACAGGGACACCGAGCTGGGCTGCCAGAGGACAAGGGGCCTGAGCCCGTTGGAATCAACAGCAGCATTGATCGTTTTGGCATTTTGCAGTGAGTCATCCTCTATGCTCCCCTCACCCCTAAAGCAGCTGTCTCAGCTCAGGGATGGGTTTGCTTTTAGAAAGGCCTTTCTGATGCAGGACATGTCTCGCTAGGTCGGGCCAACCTCTTTTCCAGGGTCAGAACTCCTCCCTGGCTCCCCTGCAGGTCCAGCCCGAGGTTGTTGTTAGGCCAGAGGTGGAAGGCCCAACTAGGGAGCTGGTGGGAATGGAGACTGGGCTAGGCCAGGCCCCTGGGCTCTCAGCAGTTCTGTCGGCAAGTGAGCACAAGAGGAGCGGGGCAGCCTGAGGTTCTGGTCCTGTCTACCAGGAGACAACCCCAGTGAGATCCAAGGGTTGTGGCCACAGGGTGAGGAGACACCTGGCCCAGTCTCAGGGCTGTTGTCCAGCAGGTCTCTCAGAGCCCACCGGCCCCTGTCCTCCTCCATTTCCCTAGAGCTACAGCCCTCACTGTCCCCATGGGGAAGGGGGAAAGGTGTGGGGACAGTGGGGGCTTTGGCCCGAAGAGAATGGGGGAGAAGATGGGCAGGGCCCCGCTCTGGGCATCTCACAGTGAGACTAGGGAGGCAGCAGGGCTTGTGACTAAAGACCCTGGGTCTGGTGCTGGGAAGGGATCTGGGGCCAGGTAAGAGGAGCCCAGCCTGGAGCCCAACCCTCAGGGATCATAGGATGGAGAGACAGCGGATGCCGGGCAAGATAAGGTGGGAGGGAGCTTATGAGGCGTGCCACTTCTGAAACACAGGGTGTGTGGCTCGGGTATAGGGAGAGGCAGGTGGATGCTTGGCCAGCCTCAGGGCTGTTGTCCAGCAGGTCTCTGAGGGCCCACCTACCCCTGTTCTCCCCCATGTCCTTATATCTACAGCCCTCAGTGTCCCCATGGGGAAGGGGGAAAGGCATGGGGACAGTGGGAGTTGTGGCCCTAGGGGAATGGGGGAGAAGATGGGCAGGGCCCCATTCTGGGCCTCTCACGGTGAGGCCAGGGAGGCAGCAGGGCTTGTGACTAAAGACCCTGGGTCTGGTGCTGGGAAGGGATCTGGGGCCAGGTAAGAGGAGCCCAGCCAGGAGCCCATCCCTCAGGGATCATAGGATGGAGAGACAGAGGATCCCAGGGGAGGTAGGGTGGGAGGGAGCTGATGAGCCGTGCCACTTCTGAAATGCAGGGTGTGTGGCTCAGATGCAGGGAGAGGCAGGTGGATGCTGAGACGTCAGAACCTGCAAGAGCCTTGGGGCTGTCAAGTGGGATGGGCCCTTAGTGCACCCAGAGTATACCGGGAAGGTCTCAGGGCAGGCTTCCTTGACCCTGGCGGGGTGATGTGGTCACTCCCTGAGGGACTCCTGTCAGGGCCCGGTCGCCCATGCTGGGTGGCCCCCATCCCATCTCAGGGCTAACCTTTCTCAGCTCCAGCAGAAAGCACCACCTCAAGTCCAGGATGGGCAGCCCCACTGTGGCCTGACCACCCCCCATGCCAGGGGCCCCAGTAACCCCAGCCAGGCTGTCCCTGCACTCCTTCTTCTCCCAGGTCCTGCCCCTCCTGGGAGTCAGAGCCACAGGAAGGCCCTTGTCCTCCCTTCCCTGTGCCTTCTCCCGGGCTGAGCCCTGAGCTGGATAGGGACAGAGCCAGTCCTTTCTGGGGGTCGGCTCCCAGGCTTGGGCGGCTCCAGGCCCTGTGCACGTCCTCAGCTCTGCCTGGGTTGCCTTACAGTGAGACGGAGCTGCCTCCTGTGACTGCACGGGAGGCGAAGGTAAGAGCCTGATGCGTGGAGGGGCTGGTCCAGGGACGTAGGGACTGGGCGGGTGGTCAGTGAGGCAGAGGAAGCAGCTGGCCTGGGCGGTGGCGGGTGAGGGCAACACGCTGTCACTGGGAGGGGCAGCAGAGACCTGACCCCAAGTTGCTGTAACTTTGGCAGTTTGATAAAATTCCAAAGTGAGAACCACAGTCCTGGCTTGGGGGGTGGCTGCGCGCTTGTGTCAGGACCCCACCTAGAGGCTGGGACCTAAGACTGGTGTGTCTGTGGCCTGAGGATGGCATGTCCCGGGGTCCCAAAGCCAGCCCATTGGTGCTCATTTGCTCAAAGGCTCTCAGCCCTTAGGGTCTGCCCTTCCCTGGCTCCTTCCAGTTGGGTCCCACCAGGGCTCCAGAGCCCAAGACTCAGCATCCATGGGCGGCTCTGGGAAGCCTGGCAGCTCCACTAACTCCAACATGCCTCATTTGACAGAAAATTCGGCGGGAGATGACACGAACGAGCAAGTGGATGGAAATGCTGGGAGAATGGGAGACATATAAGCACAGTAGCAAAGTAATGTGTGGAGGGAGAGGCCCCTGGAAGCACTCTCTGCAGAAACAGGGGACAGGCACCCATGGCTGTGGCCTGGCACCGTCAGCCTCTCAGAGGGCGGGTGGCACACTGTCCTCGCCCAGAGGACTGCAGGCCTGGTCACCAGATTGCCTGCCTATTCGTGCAAGTGTCACCTTGCTGGGAGGGAATCTGAATCTAGGGCTGGGACCACCCAGAGCTCAAGGCTAGGGATGCCCTGGTGACCCGAAGGAAGGAAAAGGTTCGGATCAGAGTTTAGACTCTGAGTGTCCATCCACTCTTTCAGTCCTGGGAAGGGAGACCCTGTCCCAGCTTGATCTCGCCTCTACTGAGGAATCATGGGGCCAAAACTGACAATTTCCAGAATCCCCAGGCTCTGGTCCTCACTGGGGTCACCCCATGGCCTGTGACACCAGATTCTTTTCTGCCCACAGCTCATAGATCGAGTGTACAAGGGAATTCCCATGAACATCCGGGGCCCGGTGTGGTCAGTCCTCCTGAACATTCAGGAAATCAAGTTGAAAAACCCCGGAAGATACCAGGTATGCTCAGCCAGAGCACAACAAACAGGACAGGCCGTGTCAGGGGCCCAGGTCTCCAGCTGGAGGGAACGTCAAGCCCACCCTGGGGTGGGGGGGTGGGAGGGGATGGTTAGATGCACATCCTGGGCATGGACGGTGACACAGTCACCACAGACAAACTCGGCTGTGGTGACCCTCCCTGGCCTCAGTAGCAAGCCAAAAAGCAGCTTTCTGCAGAAGGAAACCTTCCTTCTTTCCTTCCTTCCCGAAGTGCTGACTGTGGGCTGACTGCCATTTGGGGCAGGGAGTCTTCCATCTGTTCTGAGGCTGCTTCCTCCTCTTGGCCCTGCCCTACAGATCATGAAGGAGAGGGGCAAGAGGTCATCTGAACACATCCACCACATCGACCTGGACGTGAGGACGACTCTCCGGAACCATGTCTTCTTTAGGGATCGATATGGAGCCAAGTAAGCCTACGGGAGCCACACAGTCCCAGCAGAGATGGGGTGAACGAGAGGGATGGGGACTTCCCCGGAGCAGAAGCCAGGGTCACCCAGGAGGGATGACAGAGCTGCCAAGAGCTCTCCTGGCCCAGGGAGCAGCCGGCACCATGAACCGAGCACCTCCCTGGTTCCAAGCCCTGGGCCAGGCTGGAACATGTGGGGCCAGAACCCAGGAGGATCCTGAGGAGACAGAAAACAGCAAAGAAAATCACACGCAATGGTGAAAGGTGCTCTCCCTGACCCACGGAGACCCATGGTAGGACCCACAGGAGGGTGGCAGGATGGAGGGCCCATGAGCCTCCCCAGGCAACACAGCACCAAATGCTGGGAGAATTAGGGGTCCTGGAAACTGTCATCCAGGTCTGCTGGGAACATGACATGGCACAGCCACATTGGCAGCCAGTTGGGCAGTGGCTCACAAAGCTCAGTGGACTTGAACCACACATCCCCATGGTGTCACAGATATTGAACCCACTGATTTGAAAACTGACATCCACATGAAACCTGCATGCCAGGTTCACTGCTTGATTCCTCATCACTCACACATGGAGCCTTCGGGGATGGCCTTCAACACGGGAATGGGGAGAGACAGGCTGGTCCTCCCTTCAAACGGAAGACCCAGTGAGAAAAGGGAACGAGCCAGTGATGCCTGCACGAACGTGGGTGGATCCTAGATGCATTTTGCTAAGGGAAAGAAGCCAGACCCAATAAGCTACCATAGTAGGATTCCCATTCCTAGGCCATTCTGGAAAAGGCCAAACCATAGGGACTGAGCAGCAGTCTGGGTGGCCAGGGGCTGACGGATCGGGGAGAGGCTGGGTGCATAGGGGAAACCCTGGAGATTTGGAAGATGATGGAGTCGCTCCAGGAGGGGCTGGAGCGGTGGCCGGGAGACTGCACATTGGTTTGGAACCATGGAGGAACTGTGCACCCAAAGACTGAACTGGTGTGTGTGCAAAAGAAAAAAAAAATCATTCAGCGTGAAAAGGATCGGTCAACTCACTGTAGAACTGGGCTATTTGCATGTCACAGATGTGGATTTTACTGAAACATTTCTTCAACAGTCTCAGGCCCTGAAGAGCTCACTGCTTATCTGGTGAATCATCTGAACCTGAAATGGGATTTGTTAGGATTTGTAGACAAAGTGAAACTAACAGCATCTGCACAAACCAAACCATAGCCCCCTTTCTGTGTTTCCTAGGCAGAGGGAACTATTCTACATCCTCCTGGCCTATTCGGAGTATAACCCGGTGAGTATTCCCGGCAGTGAGGTTCCCAGGCTGTATTTCCATATTCACAGGAGTGGGTGTCTGGTGGGGGTGTCGTTGCTTCTTTTAAAGTTGGTATTTGTGACTCACCAGGATATAGGAGGTAGGATTCTAGGTCACCGCTGGCATAAACCTCCAAGCAAGGGGGTGGTCTCAAGGGGTCAAGCTGAGACACAAAGGACTTGGGGCCTGGACTCCTGGTGTCACCTGGGCCTGACCACCACTTCTCAGAACAAGAAATGACGCCCTCCTCCTGGGGCTGCTCCAAAGCAAAGGAGCTTGGCAGTGTCACACGCAGGACGGTGCTCTCAGGAGACATTTTGGACAAGGTGCTGAAGTGCCTGATGGACTTTGCTCTTGTCATGAAATGAATTTGCATCCTGAGGAAGCCTCTTCTTCAGAGGAAGCCTCCCCAGTCACCTCTGCCCTCTCCAATGACATGAGTCCTCCCAGGTGACCTCAGCCCTCCCAGGTGATGTCCTTCCATGGTGACTCTGGCTCTTGCAGGAGGTGGGCTACTGCAGGGACCTGAGCCACATCACCGCCTTGTTCCTCCTTTATCTGCCTGAGGAGGACGCATTCTGGGCACTGGTGCAGCTGCTGGCCAGTGAGAGGCACTCCCTGCCAGGTAGGTGAACAGCTGCCCGTGGGGCCTCACGCAGCCAGACCCGGGAAAGCCACTGTGGCCAGGTGATCTCGGCTTTCAGCCAAGGCACACTCCTTGTGTTGCCAGCTTGTTGGGAGCATTTAGGACGTCTCTGCTGAGGGTCCCACAGGAGTCCGCAGCTGACCCCCACAACCCAAGTCAGATGCCTTTCATCCCCATCAGCAGAGGGCATCTCATCCTCCCCATGGCCACCCTCTGTGTCCTGGAGCCACATCCTCCGGCTCTGATTCTGTTCAGCTGACTCTCCCCTCCCTGAGGGTCCTCCTGCCCTCCAGCTGCCTGGGCTCCTGCTGCCCTTGGTGCCCACAAATGGGCTGACCAAGCCCAGGTGGCAGCATCTCACCATCCCGTGTCCCCTGGCCCGACCCCACTTCCAGGAGATGACCAGGAAGCTCAGCACCCACCCTGTTCTGGCCGCTCTGTTGTGGCCTCAAAGTCAGGCTTGCCCTTTTGCACCCTGGCCCAGGAGGCTTCCAGGGGAACCTCCAGCCAGGCTCCAGGGGATGTTCCTGTCCCACCTCCCCAGGGCAAAGGCCGCATGGTAGGGTCACCAGATGGGAGGGCGGGAGGCCTTGGGGTTTGGGGGCCTCTGCAGCTGCCCAGCTCTTTCAGCTGATGGCTCCACACCTTGGGGGAAGGCTCTGATTTCATGATGGGCTGGGGGCTTCTCAGGATTCCACAGCCCAAATGGTGGGACAGTCCAGGGGCTCCAAGACCAACAGGAGCATGTGGTACCCAAGTCACAACCCAAGACCATGTGGCATCAGGTGAGTTTATGGTCCCCTCGGCTCTTCTCAGAGGCCCTGCCTCCTGTGGGGCTGTAGGAGCAGGGGGACTGGAGTCCCTTGTGGGACTGGTGACTGGCGGAGTCCCAGCTAGGGCCTGACCTGGGACGTCGGGTTCTCCATGGGCTGGGAGTTGGTTTCCTTTCATGCCCTGGAGGAGACAGAGGCACAGGGATGGGGGCCCAGCTCCTGCAGAGCAGGGCAAAGGGCAGTGTGTCCACCGGGAGTGTGGGAAGGGGACAGTGTTGTGGGGAGTTCTGGACACCGCCCAGTGTTCTGCACTAGGGGAAAGGTCTTCAGAGGCCCTGGAAGATGGAGGTTTTTAGGGCAGCCCAGGGGGCCCTGAGCACCTCTGTTCATCCCATCAGGACAAGGAAGGTCTATGCGGGCAGTGTGCCTCGTTAGGCTGCCTTCTCCGGAACCTGATTGACGGGGTAAGGAGGCATAGGGAGACCCTGGCTCAGGGACCCTCCTTGCCCTGCAGTGCCGTGCTTCCCCAGCCCGGGGGTCTGGCTCACTCCCAGCCCACAGGAGGCTCAGGCGGGTCCCCGAAGGACACACAAGCAAAACCCTCTGCCCAAGAGGGGTCATCCCAGGGCAATGGCTGGGACTCAGGTCCAGCCTCATGGGCAGACTGGGTCAGGACCCAACTTGAGAGGGCTCAGGGAAGCCTCAAGCCCTGGGCAAGCCCCTCTCTCCAGGAGCCACATACCCACTCAAATGAGTACCCCCCCATGAGAAGTTGCAAGACCTTTTCTGACTCAGCATTCTGGAGGGCTCAGGTGACCCTCATGGGGAAGGTCACTGACTCTGGAGACTGAAGCCCCAGTGTGCGCAGCTCGAGCCACCAGCCCCAGCCTGGAAGGGCCAGGTTCTCTCATACCTGCTGTCCCCACAGATCTCTCTCGGGCTCACCCTGCGCCTGTGGGACGTGTATTTGGTGGAAGGAGAACAGGTGTTGATGCCAATAACCAGCATTGCTCTTAAGGTTCAGCAGAGTAAGTCTACGTGTGCCCAGTGGGGCCTGGGGAGCCCTGCAGTCAGACCCCGACTGGCCCAAGGGCAGCTTCCTCACACTGTCCTCATGATCCTCTGTTCTGGCCCAGAGGGAGGTCTGGCCAGGTGGGCTGGGCAGGGCACTGTGACACCGAGCCCATCCCCCACATGACCCAGATGAAAGTCGAGAGTGTGGTGAGCACTTCCCTGTCCAGATCACCCCCCAGCCACAGTCTCCTGTGTACATCTGGATGCCTGGGGTGGCCACAAAAGGATTCGGCACCGCCCAGTGGGAGACTGAAGTGGCCACAGGGTATGAGCTGTGACCATTCCCAGGGAACTCTCCTGGCCTGATATCCACCCTGTCCCTAGAGCGCCTCATGAAGACATCCAGGTGTGGCCTGTGGGCACGTCTGCGGAACCAATTCTTCGATACCTGGGCCATGAACGATGACACCGTGCTCAAGCATCTTAGGGCCTCTACGAAGAAACTAACAAGGAAGCAAGGGGACCTGCCACCCCCAGGTGGGCTCCAGTGCCATGTCCCCTCCCATGTCAGCCTCTGGGGCAGTCAATAGTGGGCGGGTGCCCCGGACCAGCAACCCTACTACCTGGGCCTTCCTCTTCACCTTTTCTTCCTCCTCTTCCTCCTGGACTCTAAGAAAGTACAGGAGGCCCACCGGTCCTCAGGGCAGGCACTCAGTGCGTGTATACTGGATGTGTTGTGCACGCAGGAGAGGGATGTGGGCAAGACCCTCCAACAAGCCCCCTCCCACTTTCCACGGTGTCTCGCTCTCTCCCTCACAGGGCCCTCAAAGTTACTAGATGAGCCAGACCCATTTGTGGGAGACCCCGCCCCTCCCTGCAAGCACCCACAGCCTCAGAGAGCAGCAGAGGCCCCTCACTCCTGCACGCTCCTCCAAGGTTGCCAGGACAACAAGCCTTGAGCAAGGGAGACAAGGGAATCGGGTGTCCCTGACCCACAGGGCATTCAGGGAGAGGGCACAGGCGGGACCCCGGGCCCAGAGCCAGAGCCAAGAATTCAGCCAGATGTGGGAACGGTCAGTCCTGGCATGGACTGGGCAGCCCAGGGGGGCAGAGGGTGACCCACGTCCGGGCCCAGTCACCCACTGCGGAGACAGGTCCCCATGTGAGGTGGCAAGGAGCTGGGTGACATCCAAGGCCCCTCCCACTTGAGTTCTGATGGGGGGCCATATCCCAGGCCCAACAGCCCTGGGACGAAGGTGTGTGGCAGGAAGCCCCCAGCCAGTCTGAACCCTGGGGGCAGTCCCAGGAGCCACCCACCATGCCCCAACGGCTTCCCCATGCCAGGCAGCACACACCCCTCCCTCTGGGATCAGCAGACTACAGGCGTGTCGTCAGTGTCAGACCACAGGGGCCACACAGAGACCCCAAGGACTCCAGAGATGCAGGCAGGTGGGGCCCAGCCCGGAAAGGCCTGCATGGGCTCACTGGAGATGCTGACCACGTCTGTTTTCCTTTCAGCCAAACGCGAGCAAGGGTCCTTGGCACCCAGGCCTGTGCCGGCTTCACGTGGTGGGAAGACCCTCTGCAAGGGGTATAGGCAGGCCCCTCCAGGCCCACCAGCCCAGTTCCAGCGGCCCATTTGCTCAGCTTCCCCGCCATGGGCATCTCGTTTTTCCACGCCCTGTCCTGGTGGGGCTGTCCGGGAAGACACGTACCCTGTGGGCACTCAGGGTGTGCCCAGCCTGGCCCTGGCTCAGGGAGGACCTCAGGGTTCCTGGAGATTCCTGGAGTGGAAGTCAATGCCCCGGCTCCCAACGGACCTGGATATAGGGGGCCCTTGGTTCCCCCATTATGATTTTGAATGGAGCTGCTGGGTCCGTGCCATATCCCAGGAGGACCAGCTGGCCACCTGCTGGCAGGCTGAACACTGCGGAGAGGGTGAGGTTGGCTTTCACTGCACTGAGCCACAATGTGGGCATGGACTTCCCGGCCCTGCAGTGCACCCAGCACTGATTCCGACCGGGATACCTCCTTTGCAGCTAGGGACGAGCAGCAGTGCGCTCCCACTTCAGGGCCTTGCCTCTGCCACCTCTACTTGGAAAGTTCTCAGTTCCCTCCAGGCTTCTAGAAGCATCTGGGCCAGGGCTCATGGCTGGATAATTTCCCGAGGCTTAACAATCCAAGCAGGCTTCGCATCCTTGTTTTATTTTTTGTTAAACTTATGAAAATTTATTAAGAAAGCGTGCAGCTTGAAAGACATGCACAGATGGAACACACCAGCCCCCAGATCACAAAGCCAACCATGCCCAGCCCCATCCCAGCACCCCCAGCCCCACGACCAGCGTTCTGAATTCTGACAACACCATGAGCCTGTCTTTAAACTCATGGAAGGATAACCACCTTCACGTTTTGAAATAAATGTTTCCTGTTGAAATGATTTTAGATATACAGAAATATTGTAAAGGCACTACAGTGTCCTCCTACACCTTCCATCCAGCTGCCCCTAATAATGACGTTTTGTAATAGCATGGCCCATAAAAAATTTAGGCCGGGTGTGGTGGCTCACACCTGTAATCCCAGCAATTTGAGAGGTCGAGGCGGGAGGTTCAGGTTCACTTGAGTCTAGAAGTCTGAGACCAGCCTGGGAAACATAGGTGGACCCTGTCTCTAGAGAAAAGTCAAAGAAATTAGCCAGGCATGGTGGCATGTGCCTATAGTCCCACCTAGTCAGGAGGCTGAGGCAGGAGGATTGCTGGAGCCCATGAGTTCCAAGAAGCAGTGAGCCATGATTGTACCACTGCACTCCAGCCTGGGTGACAGAGTGAGACAATATCTCTTAAAAAAAATTAAGAAATGTAATGGGAGTACAATCCTATTAACTAAATAATAATGTGAACTATTATCTAAGGTTATTAAGGCTATAATTGTCCCATTTTCGCCTAACTTCTCATACCTGTCCTAAGATCCCATCTTGGACTCACCCTCTGCCTTCAGCTCATGCCTCTTCAGCTTCCTGCAGATGGTCCAGTAAACACACACCTGGGCTGAATGGTAGAGCTGATTACTCATACACAAGGGTAGACCTGTGGGCAGGGATTTTCAAACTTATACAGTCAATGAGTTTTCCATGGTGTTCTGGAGAGCACCCTTTAAGAAACACTTTGACAGTGAATCTAGGCCTCAATATCCATCAGCTGCTCTAGCTTGAATTTCTTAAATTTTTTTAAGAGATAAAGTCTCACTCTGTCACCAAGGATGGAGTGCAGTGGTGCAATCATGGCTTACTGCAGTGGTCCCATAAGATTATAATACTGTATTTTTAGTTGTACCTTTTCTATGTTCTAACATGTTTAGGTACACAAATACTTACCATTGTGTTACAGTTGCCTACAGTGTTCAATACAGTAACATACTGTACAGGTTTGTAGCCAAGGAGCAACAGCCTATACCATACATAGCCTAGGTTTGTGTAGGTACACTCCGTGATGTTCATACAAAGACAAAATCACCTAATGATGCATTTCTCAGAATGTAACCTCATCATTAAGCAATGCATGTACTAAAATTAGCTAGATTTTAAAACTTCCGATTTAGGAATAAGATGTCTTTAAAAAAAAAAAACAGAAGCAATCAAGTGGGTGTAAATTAGACAGATAAGAAATTAACACATTCCTATCTGTCCTTCCAGTTCACAACAAAGATATGAGTTGGCCTGAGGAGATGTCTTTTACAGCAAATAGTAGTAAAATAGATAGACAAAAGGGTAAGTCTCCAGTATTATTTTTTAAAGAGATTATTTTAAATGTATTTTTTTTCTTCTTTCAACTATTAAAGTGCTAACAACTTTTGGTTTTCTAGTTCAAAAGTAATTAGGGCCCTTCTTTTTCTTTTTTCCTGAAGCAGCATTTGATGTTGGCAAACCCACCATCAAATTATTTTCTAAATTTCTTTCTAACTCTGCAATTTAATAATTTATATGTTTTAAAAGACATGCTAGAAGAATAATTGTTTGAATTATTTTGAAAAATCATAGCAATTAAAAAGAATAATTGCTGCTTCTGGGTTACAAATGAGCATGGATCATCACTGTTGCCAGACATACCATGAAAAGCCTTCTCTAGCATTTCAAAGACCTGCTAGAGAATTATTAGCACCATTTAGCTGATTATGAGAGTTATAAAAAATCTTTTCATTGAATATAAGTAACTGTTTGTGCCATGGCATATTACTACAGCTAAGCTTTGGTTCTCATATTGTTTGTTCCAGTTCCCACAGAAAAGGGAGCCACAGGTCTAAGCAACCTGGGAAACACATGCTTCATGAACTCAAGCATCCAGTGCGTTAGTAACACACAGCCACTGACACAGTATTTTATCTCAGGGAGACATCTTTATGAACTCAACAGGTAAACTTTCTTGAGTCACTGGCCTCTTAACCTGTGACTTTGATATAAACCCACTATCACCTAAATTTCCTCTTTTTTCACCCTGCGGGAGAAAGATTTTATCTTATTTGCCCTATTTAATATGAAATAGGCCAAGGAATACATCTCTTGTTTCAAAAAGAAAAGATATTTTGATGTGAGATGCTAGGCATCTTTGCCCACATGATTGTGATTTATGAGAATCTTTGGCAACAAATTTTCCTCTCAAACTTCTAGGACAAATCCCATTGGTATGAAGGGGCATATGGCTAAATGCTATGGTGATTTAGTGCAGGAACTCTGGAGTGGAACTCAGAAGAGTGTTGCCCCATTAAAGCTTCGGGTAAGCAGGTTAAAATAATATAAAAGTATTTAATTCCTAAATAGTTGTTTAATCATTTTTCTCTACTTGTTTTTTGTGTTTAGCCTTTTAGCTTAATGAACGTTTTTGGATCCTTTACTTGGTATAAACAAGAGGCCAAATTCTTTTGCTTGTTTAAATATTTGCAAAATACTACTGTATATGCAGTGGGTAGGATAAAGACCAAAGGTACACTCTAAATTTGGGATGTCATTCATTTTACTAATTTGTCAAACATCTTATATGAAGAGTAAACCTTTTTTGGTAATACTTCACTATTAGCAGTATTCTAACTGCAAGGTGGACCTCAGAGTCTTATTAATTACATCCAATCCAATACATTTTCAACATAACTAAGATAGTTATATCTGTAGAATACAAAGAAGTAGGCTGGGCGCAGGGGCTCATGCCTGTAATCTCAGCACTTTGGGAGGCCGAGGTGGGTGGATCACTTGAAGCCAGGAATTCAAGACCAGCTTGGGCAACATGGCAAAACCCTGTCTCTACTAAAAAAAATTATCAGCCCCCCGCCCAGCCAGCCGCCCCATCCGGGAGGGAGGTCGGGGGGTCAGCCCCCCACCCGGCCAGCCGCCCCGGCCTGGAGGGAGGTGAGGGGGTCAGCCCCCTGCCCGGCCAGCCGCCCCGTCCGGGAGGTGAGGGGCGCCTCTGCCTGGCCGCCCCTACTGGGAAGTGAGGAGCCCCTCTGCCCGGCCACCACCCCGTCTGGGAGGTGTACCCAACAGCTCATTGAGAACGGGCCATGACGACAATGGCGGTTTTGTGGAATAGAAAAGGGGGAAAGGTGGGGAAAAGATTGAGAAATCGGATGGTTGCTGTGTCTGCGTAGAAAGAAGTAAACATAGGAGACTTTTCATTTTGTTCTGTACTAAGAAAAATTCTTCTGCCTTGGGATCCTGTTGATCTATGACCTTACCCCCAACCCTGTGCTCTCTGAAACATGTGCTGTGTCCACTCAGGGTTAAATGGATTAAGGGCGGTGCAAGATGTGCTTTGTTAAACAGATGCTTGAAGGCAGCATGCTCGTTAAGAGTCATCACCACTCCCTAATCTCAAGTACCCAGGGACACAAACACTGCGGAGGGCCGCAGGGTCCTCTGCCTAGGAAAACCAGAGACCTTTGTTCACTTGTTTATCTGCTGACCTTCCCTCCACTATTGTCCCATGACCCTGCCAAATCCCCCTCTGCGAGAAACACCCAAGAATGATCAATAAAAAAAAAAAAAAAAAATTTGGTAGGCATAGTGGTTAGTGGTGCATGCTTGTAATCCCAGCTACTTGGGAGGCTGAGGCACGAGAAATGCTTGAACCCGGGATGTGGTGTTTGCAATGAGCCAAGATCGCACCACTGCACTCCAGCCTGGGCAGCAGAGTAAGACTCTGTCTCCAAAAAGAAAAAAAAGTAGAAGAATGAATGAATGAAACTAATGAATATAAGTTTTATATTAATATCACATGTAGTAGATTTTGGTGAAGTTAGGATTATTCATTATTTTTATTTAAATACAAAGCAAAAGCTTTTTATATTACAAATTATTAACTATAACAGCTACACATTTGACTACTTACCTCTTGCCAGGCACTATTCTAATTAATTTATATCCTCTAAATAATTCTAATGCGGTTAATAAAAGTTAGGATGCAACAAGACCAGAAAATGTAATTGTTGAAGACAACATTACATTATATAAAATAATATATACACATATTATTTTATACATGCTATGTATTATTATATACACATTATTTTATGCATGTTATGTATATATTATGTACCTGTAAAATATACATATTTTATATGCATATAAAAATGTGTAAAACATTATAGAACAGGATGTCTTTCCATGTGAGCAAATGCTGTTTTAATATTTCTGTCTTAAATAACATCTATGTGCCTGAAGAACAGTTTGCTTACATGATACTGAACTGAGGACACAGTATTGGCCAAAATACTTCTCTTTTTTTTTTTGGTCATTTGACATTAAGATTCAAAAGATTTCATGATTATCCAAAATACATTTGTTGAAATGGAGGCAGACTAAGTACTATACTATTTATTTTCTTACAATGGCTCTGATTGGATTATAGGACATGTTCATTCCAAATTTTATGGGTAGGAAATAATGACTGTGACTTCTCTTATATTTATAGCGGACCATAGCAAAATATGCTCCCAAGTTTGATGGGTTTCAGCAACAAGACTCCCAAGAACTTCTGGCTTTTCTCTTGGATGGTCTTCATGAAGATCTCAACCGAGTCCATGAAAAGCCATATGTGGAACTGAAGGACAGTGATGGCCGACCAGACTGGGAAGTAGCTGCAGAGGTTTGTCAGTTTTGAGTTTCTAATGTAAGCAATAGACAAAATGTTCTGACCACAAATACATGTAGCACAACTTAAATGCAAACTAAACTATTCTGAGATCAGAATTTTACTGCAAAAATTAAGGAATTTCTATTTCTATGCTTAATTGTTATGTGATAATGCCAAAACAAAAATACCTTTAATGAATATAGAAAACTGTTGCCATTTCACATTGTAAACTTTATGGGACTGGATGTAGGAATAATTGTCCAGTGGAATTTAAAGAGTCCCCGTAATTGCTAAAGTAATGCATACAGTGACCAATAGGCATGCTTTATACTTATTAATGGACAAATAACTTTAATATTTACCATTGTTACCTTGATAAGAACAAATGAAAAATAGGATTTTCCATCTCAATTTAATATTTTATGTTAAATGAAGAGTAAGGATTATATTCTTTACTTTTAAATCCAATATATTTAACCAGTTTCTGTGAATTTATATAGAAATGCCTCTCTTTTGGATTTTGAGAGAAAATTCTCATCTTTTTTATTGCTAGGCCTGGGACAACCATCTAAGAAGAAATAGATCAATTATTGTGGATTTGTTCCATGGGCAGCTAAGATCTCAAGTCAAATGCAAGACATGTGGGCATATAAGTGTCCGATTTGACCCTTTCAATTTTTTGTCTTTGCCACTACCAATGGACAGTTACATGGACTTAGAAATAACAGGTAGGTCACAAAGTTCTGAAAAATTACTTGATTCCATTAAATTTACTTTATTTAAATAGCCTGAATTTGTAAGCATAGTTATTTGTTTACAAATAAAGACTGGTAGTCAGCATATTATAATCGAGCAACCTAATTTTAGGCATGACTTGAGGTTTGAAAGATGTAGATTGGGGCATGTTTTTTTGGTTTCAAATATGCCAGCAACTCTCTTTAAAACCCTGCAAAGCCACTCACACTTTTATGTCAGATGAACACCAAAAAAATACTGATTTCACTTAATATTATCCCTAAGTACCATCTGTTTTAGTGTTTACCCATAAAATAAAAATTCTAGGCTGAAATATTTGCTATTATATTTACAGGTCAGATATATCTGTACACAGCATTTAAGGCTTTCAATGAAACCTGCATTTTACTGATAAAAGATCTTTTCTCTTTACTAGTGATTAAGTTAGATGGTACTACCCCTGTACGGTATGGACTAAGACTGAATATGGATGAAAAGTACACAGGTTTAAAAAAACAGCTGAGGGATCTCTGTGGACTTAATTCAGAACAAATCCTACTAGCAGAAGTACATGATTCCAACATAAAGGTAATGTTAACTACTCTAAGAAACTTTTGATTCTATCCTTCAAAGATGACATTTTTCTCAATTATGATGATCAGTTGTTAGGTTATGTGACCAAGAGAGATACTAAAACATAACGAAAACTGAACAACAACAAAAAATGCCAAGTTTTCCAACCCAGAAACTTAAAAGAGTTTTCTACCAGAATAAAGGGATAATACTGATGGTGGTATTTTTGAAGAAGGGAAATATGTAAGGCTGCCTATATGGAGTGTTTTAGCTGTGTCACTATAGTATAGGTTTCCTCCAAAGACTGCTGCTATTACCAAAGACTGCTGCTGTTACACTTCACAGCTCTTCTATATTACCACTGTTACTAGAATTCTTCCTAGGTTAAAGCATTTTATGTATTTACGAATATATATATTTGGTCTTTTAACACACTAAGAAATTAAGAGTAAAGACAAATTGACACCAATCATGTCTTTCTACAAACCAGCTGGGGAAACAAATAATCTAATAAATATATTGCTTACTCTAAATTAAGCTCCTGCAACTGCTATTATTTATATTCATCTTTGGGATTTCTGAACACACTCTCACCTCATTGACATTTTCTTAATATGAAATGCAACAATGGCGTCTCTGAGGGTTGGAATTTAGATCCCTGAGACAAAGGACAAAACTGAAGAAGTCAGTCATGTACAACACACTTCTTCCTGTGAAAAGAGATAATAGTTCAACAATTGAGATTAGTTTTCAGTTATTTTTATCAAGCATTCATCCTTTATGTAGTTGAAAAATTATTCAATCATCTCGTTGGTTTTATGGATGAAAGGACCTAAGACATTCTTTTGAAATACATTAGAGAGAGAACTTTTCCTTTTTATCTGAAACATCTCCCCCTTCTCATCTTGCTGCTGTTTCTGTAGAACTTTCCTCAGGATAACCAAAAAGTACAACTCTCAGTGAGCGGATTTTTGTGTGCATTTGAAATTCCTGTCCCTTCATCTCCAATTTCAGCTTCTAGTCCAACACAAATAGGTAAGATAGAACTAGAACTCCTTCTCATGACTGCACCTTTAAATATTTGTCTAAGAGTTGTCATCTTTTTTATATTTGTTCATGCTGAGGATGTTATAGCAGAAGAACTTTGGAACTCAAGGGAAACCTTACTGATTATTCCATATTTTTTCGATGAGAAACCTAAAATTTAGAGAACCCAAGTGACTTCAGTTAGATAGGTAGTTGTTAGCTAATATACCCTTGGAATTCAGATCTCTTTGAACATTTATCTAATACTAACATGGCAACAGCTAGTATGAGAGGAACATACTACCAGAAAATATAAACAATAGATATAGCTAGAAAGAAATCCAATATTATATGTAATTTAATGTGATCACTCACTGAGTCTTTTAGCCACTAGTATGCTTTGTCTATTCTTTATATTACTTACAATTAGGTTAATTAGGCTAATTCCCCAACTATAAAGGGCTTTATGAGGCTCCCTTCATTGACGTGTAGTAGGTAGATAGTCCTGACGGTGAGTTGGTGGATGATCTAATTTTAGTTTTAATTTAGAGTATCACTGTCTAATAGAATTCTGCAGTGGTGGAAACTTCTGTGATCTTTGCCATCCAATACAGTATCCACCAATCACGTGGACTGTTAAGAGCTCGAGATGTGGCTAGTGTGACTGAGAATAATGCATTTTTAATTTTTATTTTATTTTATTTATTTATTTGGAGAAAGGGTCTCACTCTGTCACCCAGCCTGGAGTGCAGTGGCATCATCTTGGCTCACTGCAGCCTCTGCCTTATGGGCTGAAGCAATCCTCCCACCTCAGCCTCCCAAGAAGCTGGGACTACAAATGTGTACCACCATGCCCAGCTATGGTGTATCTTTTGTAGAGATGGGTTTTCACCATGTTGCCTAGGCTGGTCACTAGCTCCTGGGCTCAAGGGTTCTGCTACTTCAGCCCCCTAAAGTGCTAGGATTACAAATGTGAGCTGCCTCATCCAGCCTAATTTAAATTTTAAATGCAACATCTGGGTAGAGGTTACTGTATTGGACGGTGTCTTCAAAGGCGAACAGAAGGAAAAGAAAACAAGTGGTAGAACTGTTTGTGTGCTACAACATGGTGCTGATACAGGTTTCTGCAAAAATTCTGCTTAATAGTTTCCAGCAGTTACTCTTTCCTTTTCATTTGGTCAAAAGTGTGAGTTAGGGAAGTAAAACTGGAAATTAAAATCTTCCAATAAATCTAGAATTATTTATACTATGATTTCTCCCTGCCCTGTGTTAAGAGACTACACTGTCTCTCGTCCTCAGGATACTTGAGAAAAGAGCAAAGATGAAAATACCACAAGCTTATGATGCTGTACTTATCTTTGAATTTGTAGATTTCTCCTCTTCACCATCTACAAATGGAATGTTCACCCTAACTACCAATGGGGACCTACCCAAACCAATATTCATCCCCAATGGAATGCCAAACACTGTTGTGCCATGTGGAACTGAGAAGAACTTCACAAATGGAATGGTTAATGGTCACATGCCATCTCTTCCTGACAGCCCCTTTACAGGTTACATCATTGCAGTCCACCGAAAAATGGTTAGTTAAATGTTAGGCAACTCACTGCCAGTCTTGCTAGTGTCATTTGTGAAATAGCCATTTTCTGTCTTTGCAACATCATTGAATGCATTTTCTTCTCTTTTTTCTTTAATTTTTAAAAATTTAATACTTTTACAAATTTTATTTTTTTACTTTTCTATCCTGTCCTCAAAACCTGTTGCTATGAATGTATTTTCAATGTATTATATATGCTAATATAAGTGATCAGAGCCAGGATTTAGTATTATTCATGATGGCTAATGTATGAAATGACATTCCTCATCCGTATATTAAGAGGCAACAGGATAGTCAGCACATCTGAGTACTACTTTCTTTAAAAATTTGTGTCTCCTGGCCAGGTGCAGTGGCTCACACCTGTAATCCCAGCACTTTGGGAGGCTGAAGCAGGTGGATCACCTGAGGTCAGGAGTTCGAGAACAGCCTGGCCAACATGGTGAAATCCCATCTCTACTAAAAATACAAAAATTAGCTGGGCATGGTGGCATGCGCCTGTAGTTTCAGCTACTTGAGAGGCTGAGGCAGGAGAATTGCTTGAACCCAGGAGGCAGAGGTTGCAGTGAGCGAAGATTGTGCCACAGCACTCCAGCCTGGGTGGTAAAGCGAGACTTCATCTCAAAAAAAAACAAAAACAAAAACAAAAACAAAGTATCTCCTAAGCCAGACATGTTTAGGAGGATCCCTTGAGGACAGGATTTTGAAGCTATAATATGCTATGATGCTCACACCTGTAAATAACCACTCAACTCCAACCTGGGCAATAAGTGAGACCTTGTCTCTAAAAAAATTAGAAAAAAACAAAAACCAACACACACAAAATTTATGTTTCCTGTGTGTTTATGTAGGTATGTACATCTTCACTGCCACATAAACGCGGATGGCTTTGGAAAAGTTTTTTGTTTTGGGTTTTGTTTTTTTTTTCTTAGAGGACACAAGAATGTTCTTCGGCAAAATCAAGTTGTGCATAATTCCTTTCTTGATAGTCTAATATATAACTATTGCATTAAAGGTTGACTCTTTGGTAAAAAAGAAAAAGGAAGGTTTGAAAACTGTGGTCAGTGGATAATTGTTAAAGAGGTAGTCTTCGGGTATAGTGGCAACTTGGTAGAGTAGAAAGGGCACTGAACTAGGAATTTAGCAACCTATGTTTTAGTTCTAATTCTGCCACTAGATAGCTGATTGAGCTCTTTGGACTTTAGTGTCCTAATTTTATAAAGGAAAGGAAAGGTCAGGTGCAATGGCTCATGCCTGTAATCCCAGCACTTTGGGAGGCTGAGACAGGTGGATCATGAGGTCAAGAGTTTGAGACCAGCCTGGCCAATATGGTGAAACCCCGTCTCTATTAAAAATACAACAATCAGCCAGGCATGGTGGCACACGACTGTAGTCCCAGCTACTCAGGAGGCTGAGGCAGGAGAATCGCTTGAACCTGGGAGGTGGAGGTTGCTGTGAGCTGAGATTGTGCCATTGCACTCCAACCTGGGCAACAAGAGCGAAACTCCGTCTAAAAAAATAAATAAATAAATAAATAAATAAATAAATAAATAAATAAAATAAAGTAAAGGAAATTAGGGCTTCTAGATCAAGTAAATTGATTGTATAGCAGCAACAAGAGAAAATGAAGTTGTAAAAAAGGTACTACTGTATTGGTTTCTTAGGACTGTTATAACAAATTACCATAAATTTGGTGGCTTTAAACAACAGAAATATATCTTTTTTTTTTTTTTTTGACAGAGTCTCGCTCTGTCACCCAGGCTGGAGTGCAGTGGTGCAATCTCGGTTCACTGCAGCCTCCACCTCCTGGGTTCAAGCAATTCTCCTGCCTCAGCCTCCCGAGTAGCTAGGACTACAGGCACACGCCACCATGCCTGGCTAATTTTTGTATTTTTAGTAGAGATGGGGTTTCACCATGTTGGCCAGGATGGTCTTGATCTCCTGACCTCGTGATCTGCCTGCCTCGCCCTCCCGAAGTGCTGGGTTTACAGGTGTGAACCACTGCACCCAGCCCAGAAATTTATTCTTTCACCTTCTGGAGGCCAGAAGTCTGAAACCAAGGTTTCAGTAGGGTGGGGGCTTCCTCCAAAGGTTCTAGGAGAGAATGCTTTCTTGTCTCTTCTAACCTCTGGTGGCTCCAGGCATTCTTTGGCTTGTGACTACATAACTGCAATCCCTGCCTCTTCACATGGCCTTCTCCTTCTCTCTGTCTTTCTCTGATAAGGATACTTATCACTGAATTTAGGGCCCACCCAGATAATCCAGGATGATCTTATCTTGACATCCTCAACTTAATTATATCTACAAACATCCTTTTACCAAATTAGGTCACATTTACTGGTTCCAGGGGTTAGAACATGGATATACTGTTTTAGGGATGACCATTCAACTCAACTACAGATATTATTTATCTTAGTATCAAAAAAATTAAATGCTGAGAAAAAAATTAAGTACCTAGGAATAAACTTTAAAAATGACACATAAGACATCTATATAGAAAATAAAATATTGATAGAAATTAAAGACTTAAATATTGGAAGGAATAAACCATGTTCATGGATTAGAAGACTCGATATTTTAAGATGTCAGTTCTCTACAAACTAATCTACAGATGACTTAATGCACAATCCCAATAAAAATGCAAAGTCTGCATGTGTGTGTGTGTGTGTGTGTGTGTGTGTGTGTGGTGTGTGTGAGTTGATAAGCTGATTCTCATATGTGGAAATACAAAGCACCCAGAATAGCCAAGATACTCTTGAAGAAGAATAAGGTATGAGGATATCATCAAGATTGGATATCATCCAGATATCAAGATTTATTTCACAAAGATATGATACTTAAAATAATGTCACAGTGGTACAAGAAAAGACAAATAGACCACTGGGATAGAATAGAGAGCCCAGAAACCAGTTCACAAATGTATGAACACCTGATTTATAACAAAGAGAACATTGCAGGGTGGTGAGAGAAAGTTTTCTCAGCAAGTGGTGCTGGGACAATTAGATATCCATATGAAACTTGGCACCTACCTTTCGCCACAATTTCAGGTGGTCTATAGAGCTAAATTTGAAAGCAAAACAATGAAACAGCCCTTGGAAGATAATAATGGTGAATTCATTCCTGACATTACGCATATAAAGAAAAGATTAAATTGCACTTCATTAAAATTGATAACTTGGCTGGGTGCGGTGGCTCATGCCTATAATCCCAGCACTTTGAGAGGCCGAGATGAGACGGACGGGTCACAAGGTCAGGAGTTCAAGACCAGCCTGGCCAATATGGTGAAACTCCGTCTCTACTAAAAATACAAAAATTAACTGGGCATGGTGGTGGGTGCATGTAGTCCCAGCTACTTGGGAGGCTGAGGCAGGAGAATCGCTTGAACCCCAGAGGCAGAGGTTGCAGTGGGCTGAGATTACACCATTGCATTCCAGCCTGGGCAACAGAGCGAGACTCCGTCTCAAAAAAAAAAAAAAAAGTGATCAATGACACTAGTAATCAGTGAAATGTAAATTAAAACAATATTATGATATCAGTGCACTCACCTGAACAGGTAAAATTAAACAGACTGACAGGGTTGCTAAGTAGAGCAACAGGAACTCTCATACCATGCTGATGAGAATATAAATTAATACAACTACTTTGGAATACAATTTTCTAGTTAAAGATAAGCAGTTCTACCTGTAGGTATCCACCCAAAAGATATGTGTACCAGGAGAGATGCACAAGAATATTCATAGCAGCATTATCTATAGTAGCCCCAAAATGAAAACATTACATGTCCATTAGTTGTAGAAGGGATTGGGAAGTTGAGATATATTAAGATAAAAGAACATTATACAGGAATGAAAATGAATGGATTTGTAGTTATATCCAGTATAAATGAATCTCGTAAACCTAATGTTGATGGAAAGAAGCCAGACAAAAAAGAATTAGGGTAGGCACAGTGGCTCACACCCGTAATCTCAGCATTTTGGGAGGCTGAGGTGGGCTGATTGCTTGAGCCCAGGAGTTTAAGACCAGCCTGGGCAACATGGTGAAACCCCATCTCTACAGAAAATACAGAAATTAGCCGGTGTGGTGCCACACACCTGTAGTCCCAGCTACTCAGGAGGCTGAGGCAAGAGAATCTCTCAAGCCCAGAAAGTGGAGGTTGCAGCAAGCTGAGATCACACCACTATGCTCCAGCCTCGATGACAGAGCTAGACCCAGTTTCAAAAAACAAACAAAAAAAATGAATTAAGTAATTCTATTTATAAATATAAAAACTTTTAAAACAGGGAAAATGAAATCTAGTGTTTATTTACTTCTGCATAGGATATAAAACTGTAAAGGAAAGCAAGAAAGTGATTACTGTAACATTTAGAATAATAGTTACCTTTGTGAGGAAGGGAGAATTTGTGATTTGGAGGAAGCAAATGGGAGGCTTTTGAGTGCTCACTATATTCTGTTTCTTAAACTCAGTGATAACAGAAAGCTAGTTGCTTTGTGATAATTATTTGAAATGTACTTTTTTTTGTTTTTGCAATGGAGTTTCGCTCTTGTTGCCCAGGCTGGAGTGCAGTGGCACGATCTCAACTCACCGCAACCTCCGCCTCCTGTGTTCAAGTGATTCTCCTGCCTCGGCCTCCCGAGTAGCTGGGATTACAGGCATGCGCCACCACGCCCGGCTAATTTTGTATTTTTAGTAGAGACAGGGTCTCTCTATGTTGGTTAGGTTGGTCTTGAACTCCCGACCTCAGGTGATCCACCCACCTTGGCCTCCCAAAGTGCTGGAATTACAGGCATGAGCCACCGCATCCAGCCAGAAATGTACCCTTTTACCTCTGATTTTTATTTTTCTCTGAATTAGTAGCCGTTGGCTTAAAGTTCCTTTCTTTTTCTTTTTTTTTTGAGACAGATTCTTGCTGTTGTTGCCCAGGCTGGAGTGCAATGGCACGATCTCGGCTCACTGTACTCTCTGCCTCCTGGGTTCAAGTGATTCTCCTGCCTCAGCCTCCCAAGTAGCTGGGACTACAGGCGCGTGCCACCATGCCCAGATAATTTATGTATTTTTAGTAGAGACAGGGTTTCACCGTATTGGCCAGGCTGGTCTCGCACTCCTGACCTCATGATCTGCCTGCCTCGGCCTCCCGAAGTGCTGGGATTATAGGCATGAGCCACTGCACCTGGCCCTGGCTTGAAGTTTCTAACCATGTTAATAACTGGGAGTAGAATTTATCTCAGTAGTAACTGAGAAAGTATGGGCCCTAGGGCACTAGGAGAAATTCCTTAATGAGAGGATGAAAATTGTGTGGGTTTAGCTATGTTTTAAAATTTTGTGAAATATTTGTACTGAACTCTGTCTGGATTTCTCTGGGTCTCATAATAATAGTAACATATGAAATAGGGTCTTAAAATTATGTATTTAAGCTTAAATGAAAATGGCAAAATAAAATGCTTAATAATCTGAATAAAGAAGGGTCTTTTTACTTAGAAACTAGCTAACTTAACCCTTAGTGAGTTGATAAGTTGTTGATTTAGCTTTTCTAATTACTCAATAAATACCAAACTTCTTAGAGAATTAAATATTCAAAGGTTCAGCAGCTTTGGATAACCTTGAACTCCCACCAACCATTCCATTATACTAAATGTTTATTAAACAGCCATTTCCAGGATAATTCTGTGCAGTATCTCTATATTAAGGAATATCATAAATGTCTCTTTAACATACTCAAAGCAAATTTTTAAAATTTTTACCTTACTTTTATCCTATCCTGTATTTAAAAAACAAACAAAAAGGATTAAAATCACTTAACTGCTTTTAGGAAGGTGGATAAGCTTGTTACAAAATAGAATTACTAGGTTTCACAAATCTCCAAAACTTTGGGAATTGCCACTCCAACAACCACTATCGACAGTTTATCCCTAGAAAACTATAGTTGAGATAGTCTTTTTTTTTTTCCCCCCACTGGCATCTTTTCATTTCTTTTTCTGAGACAGGTCTCACTCTACCTTCCAGGCTGGAATGTAGTGGCACGATCACAGATCACTGTACCAAACTTGCCAGACTCAAGCAATCCTCCCACCTCAGCCTCCTGTATAGGTGGGACTACAGACACATGCCACCATGCCCAGCTAATTGTATTTATTTCTTTATAGAGATGGGGTCTCCCTACATTGCCCATTCTGATCTCAAACTCCTGGGATCAAGGGATCCTCTTGCCTCAGCCTCCCAAAGTGCTGGGATTACAGGCGTGAGCTACCACACCCAGCTTACTGGCATATTTTCTGGAGAAAGAAAGAGTCTCAATTGTTTAAAAGCCTTTAGCTATGAAGCTATTACTAGTTTTTACATGTGATTCAGTGTATGTGAGAAATGTTTATCAGAGAAAACTCTGGTTTGAATATATTGATTGCTGAAACCCAAGTTTGATAGAATAGGCAACAACTCTAAAACTGGCAATACCTCAGCGCTTTTAATGACTCCACTGTAAACCGTTCTCTTTGTGTCAATAAAGATGGTTTTATAAACATAGAGAAGAATGTGATAGTGACTAATTTGAAATGGTGATAATGCCTATCATTGGCAGAGTTAGAAGAACTAAAGGGAGGAATCAGAGGCCTGTCTTCTCAACTCTCTATTCTCGTTTGTACATACAGATGAGGACAGAACTGTATTTCCTGTCACCTCAGGAGAATCGCCCCAGCCTCTTTGGAATGCCATTGATTGTTCCATGCACTGTGCATACCCGGAAGAAAGACCTATATGATGCGGTTTGGATTCAAGTATCCTGGTTAGCAAGACCACTCCCACCTCAGGAAGCTAGTATTCATGCCCAGGATCGGTGAGTTCAGGGGATCCATCTAAACCTGTGGTTTCCAAACTCTAGAAAAATAATTTATATGAATTCTACATGACAGATAGGGCCCAGCCCATGTCAAGTTTGGCGCCCAGCCAAAATAAGTTATTTAAATAATTATTTAAAGTATTTATTTTAAATAAATACTTTATTTTGGAAGAACCACTCAGAGAGCATACAATTCAACCATTTGGCTTGATATTTGGAGTAGGAGGGACAATACAGCTTCCTTTTGCCAAACATTCTAGTGTCTAATAATCCTTCCATTCTCTAATCTTTTGCCTGGATTCGTCCTGCTAATGCTTCAAGTAATATCCTTGTCTTCTGTGTTGCAGAAGTAGAGAGTATGAATTCACCAGGAAATGTGTATAATCTCAGTCCTCTGAAATTCAGAATGAGAGCGACTGCATACATGAACTCTGAAAAGTCTCATGATACAAAAAATAATTCTGTTGGATTATTTCCATACCATGTCATTCTTTTTTCTTTTTCCCTTACCATGTCATTTTAACGTGAAGTAATTTCATAAATCTAGATAAAAATAATTAACATTTTCTGTTTTCTTTCCCTTTTTCCTACCACTGTTCTATTTGATTAGTAAATGCATTTACTCTGAATAATTTTTGGGATTGTGATGATGTCTTATTTTTATCTCAATCAAATTGTAGATCATTTTCTTTTCTTTTTTTTTTTTCTTTTCTTTATGACAGAGTTTTGCTCTTGTTGCCCAGGTTGGAGTGCAATGGCACGATCCTGGCTCACTGCAACCTCCACCTCCCGGGTTCAAACGATTCTCCTGCCTCAGCCTCCTGAGTAGCTGGGATACAGGCATGCACCACCATGCCTGGCTAATTTTGTTTTTTTGGTAGAGATGGGGTTTCTCCATGTTGGTCAGGCTGGTCTCAAATTCCCAACCTCAGGTGATCCGCCTGCCTCAGCCTCCCAAAGTGCGGGGATTACAGGCGTGAGCCACCTCACCCAGCCTGTAGATCATTTTCTTGCCATCATGGTACAAATGAGAGTTCTGTTTTATGGTAACTAAAAAAAGTTCTTTACTTATTTGTTATGATGTGGGGTCTTTTGATGATTAGGGTAGGGCTTAGGATAAATACATCTTTTTTTTTTTTTTGAGACATTCTTAATTTGTCACCCAGGCTGGAATGCAGTGGTGTGATTTTGGTTCACTGCAAACTCCGCCTCCAGGTTCAAGTGATTTTCATGCCTCAGACACCTGAGTAGCTGGGATTACAGATGCTCGCAACCACACCCAGCTAATTTTTGTATTTTTAGTAGAGACTGGGTTTCACCATGTTGGCCAGGCTGATCTCAAACTCCTGGCCTCAAGTGATCCATCTACCTCAGCCTCCCAAAGTACTGGTATTACAGGTGTGAGCCACCACACCTGGCCAGATTTAAATTTAAAGATTTAAATAAATCTTTACTTAAATAAGTTATTTATTTATTTTTATTTTGTATTTTTTTGAGACGGAGTCTCGCTCTGTCACCCAGGCTGGAGTGCAGTGGTGTGATCTTGGCTCAACGCAACCTCCACCTCCCGGGTTCAAGTGATTCTCCTGCCTCAGCCTCCTGAGTCGCTGGGATTACAGGTGCCTGCCACCACGCCTGGCTAGTTTTTGTATTTTCAGTACAGGCAGGGTTTCACCAGGTTGGCCAGGCTGGTCTCAAACTCCTGACCTCAAGTGATCTGCCCGCCTCAGTCTCCCAAAGTGCTGGGATTACAGGCATGAGCCATCGCGCCCAGCCAAAATAAGTTATTTAAATAATTATTTAAAGTATTTAAGATTTAAATAAATCGTAAAGGAAAACTGCAAATAATAGATAAGCAGTTTAGTTAATGAATGTTTTGTTTAGTAAAGATGAAAGTTGGACAAGATTAAATTTGAAGTGAAGTAATTGAATTAAAAAGCTTCTAGATGTGGGCCTTTCCCAGGACTTGCTAATGAATTGGATGTGGAGTATAGGGAAAGAGGAATCCAGGCTGACTTCTTTTTTCTGGTTGGCGGGGGGCGGGATGGAGTCTTGCTCTGTCGCCAGGCTGGAGTGCAGTGGCATGATCTCAGCTCACTGCACCTCTGCCTCCCAGGTTCAAGCAATTCTTCTGCCTCAGCCTCCCGAGTAGCTGGGAGTACAGGTGCACACCACCACACTCGGCTAATTTTTGTATTTTTAGTAGAGACAGGGTTTCACCATGTTGGCCAGGATGGTTTCGATCTCCTGACCTCATGATCCCACCTCAGCCTCCCGAAGTGGTGGAATTACAGGCGTGAGCCACTGCACCCGGCCCAGGCTGGCTTTTTACCCTGAACAATTGTTTGTGAATGGTGGTACCATTTAATGGAAAAAGGAAAACTGGAGAAGGAGCAGATTTTGGCAAGAAAAGACAGGAATCAAGTTAAATTCAAGAAGTCTATTATATATTCAAGTGTAAAATTAACTTGAATGTCCTCTGCTGAAGATATAAACATAGATGTCATCAACAAATAGGTGGTATTTAAAGCCCTGAGACCAGATGATTAACATTTAGAGAGTGAGATTTAAATAGAGAAGATTCCCATGATCTATACATGAACTCTGAACTGAGTTCATATGCATTCCGACATTTAGAGATTGAAAAGGGAAAAAGAAGCATCAAAAGAGATCGAGGCTGGGTGCAGTGGCTCATGCCTGTAGTCCCAGCACTTCAGGAGGCCGAGGTGGGAGGATCACTTGACGCCAGGAGATCAAGACCAACCTGCCCAACATGGCAAAACCCCGTCTCTACTAAAAATGCAAAAATTAGCTGGGCATGGTAGTATGTGCCTGTAATCCCAGATACTTGGGTGGCTGAGGCATGAGAATCACTTCAACCCTGGAGGTGGAAGTTGCAGTGAGCTGAGATCACACCACTGTACTCCAGCCTGGGTGACAGAGCAAGACTCTGTCTCAAAAGAGAGAGAGGGAGAGAGAGAGAGAGAGAGAGAGAGGGAGAGGGGGAGAGAGAGAGAGAGAGAGAGAGAGAGAGAGAGAGAGAGAGAGAGAGAGAGAGAGAGATTGAGAAGAAGCAGCCCGTAATGTAAGAAGAAAACCAGGAGTTAAGTGAAGGAAGTACTTCAAGAAAGGAGTGATAGTTGTTTCAAATGCTACAGAGGACTGGGAATTGCCCACTGGATTTGATAAAATGGTCTTTGGTGATCTTTGTGAAAGCTATTTTAGTATAGATAAAGGAGTAGAGATTGGAGTGGGTTAAAGACAGAACGGTCCTTTGGACGTTAAGAAAGGTAGCCAGGCATGGTAGCTCTCACCTGATTCTAGTGGTACTTGGTAAAGTTATGGATGAAATAAGAGTGGCCTGGAGTTGATGATTTTTATAGTTGTGTAAAGAATACATGGGGTATTTCATTGCATAGTTCTCAACTTCTTGAGTGTTTATGTCAATAAATTTGAAATTTTAGATTAAATGGACAAAATCCTGGAATTAAGGGTCTATGTAGAAGAGTGATTATTTTCAGGGACAGTGGGTAAAGAGGCAAGTGAGGATTTCAGGGCAGCGATTGGAGGTTTCTCTTGGGTGAAAGAATCATTAGAATAGGGATGTTTGAATAAGTAGTAAGTAACCCAAAAAGATAGGAGGTTGTGGTTGCAAAGTAGGATACCGGGAATTGAGATTTTGGAGGTAGAAAAGTTTGTATTCACAAGGTCTAGAATATGACATTTGGAGAGGGTTTACATATGGGGTGGAGGAAGTTATTGTTGGAAGAGAGAAGACCAAGTTACTGTTGTATTAATTGCATTGATGCTGATGTCACCAAGAATAATAACAGGAGAAGTGGTGGAGAAAAAACACAGTGAACTAGGTGCTGCAATCTGTAGTGAGTAAAGAAGATATGTACCTTCCAAGGAGGAATAGCAGGTGGCATAATTCAGTAGCACATGATACAAAGAAGCTGGAATGTTTTAGAAAAGGAAGGAAGAAGAGATCATGTACAAGTGGCATAGGAATAAGGAAGAGATCTATTTTACCTCCAGGTTCTGGAACGTATGAGAATAAAAAGTTCAGAGGGTAGGGTGTGGTGGCTCAAGCCTGTAATCCCAGCACTTTAGGAGGCTGAGGCAGGAGGATCACTTGAGCCCAGGAGTTCAAGACCAGGCTGGACAACATGGCAAAATGCTGTCTTTACAAAAAATGTAAAAATTAGCCAGGTATGGTGGTGCATGCCTGTAATCCTAGCTACTTGGGAGGCTGATGTGGGAGGATCACCTGAGCCCAGAAAGGTGGAGGCTGCTATGAGCCATAATCATGCTACTGCACTCCAGCCTGGGCAACAGAGTGATACCCCGTCTCAAAAAAAAAAAAAAAAAATGGAAAAAGTCTGCAGGGGGAGCAGGATTCTCAAGAAAGCCAGGCTTCGTTCAGTTAGAGCAAAAAGGTAAAAGAAATTTTTAGAAGAGAAGTGTTGCACAGCTTTCTATGAGAGTGCTACTTGATTGTTTTATCCCATTATCTTTCTTTTGATTCCTCACTTATTGCTGGCCTGAGTTGGACATGGTACTAGACAGTACAGGCTATCAGTGATCATTCACTGGATGAGTTATGCAGAAAGATGGGAACTCTTATGCCAGATGTGATTCTCACTTTTGCCCTTACAGTGACTCTTTATCATGGTTTCATTACCTTCAATAGCCCATGTAATAACCACTATCATTTGCCAGATGAGCTGTAAAGTATGCCACTCTTATGTTATATTCCTTGCATTGCTTCCTTCTCCCCCACCCCCAGCTTTATTGAACTATAATTGACAAGTAGGAATTGTATATACATCTAAGACATACAGCTTATATTTCGATAATATGTATAAATTGTTGCACTGCTCCTTGTTAGGGCAAGGATGAGTAAATTTTTTTAAAAGTTGGAAAATTCACAAGGCCATCTTGACATAATCATTGGCAGTTAAAAGAAGTTACTCCATGGTGTATATGTGCCACATTTTCTTAATCCAGTCTGTTGTTGTTGGACATTTGGCTTGGTTCCAAGTCTTTGCTATTGTGAATAGTGCTGCAATAAACACACGTGTGCATGTGTCTTTCTAGCAGCATGATTTATAATCCTTTGGGTATATACCCAGTAATGGGATTGCTGGGTCAAATGGTATTTCTAGTTCTAGATCCCTGAGGAATCGCCACACTGACTTCCACAATGGTTGAGCTAGTTTACAGTCCCACCAACAGTGTAAAAGTGTTCCTATTTCTCCACATCCTCTCCAGCACCTGTTGTTTCCTGACTTTTTAATGATCACCATTCTAACTGGTGTGAGATGGGTGCAGCACACCAACATGGCACATGTACACATATGTAACTAACCTGCATGTTGTGCACATGTACCCTAAAGCTTAAAGTATAATAAAAAAAAGAAGTTACTCCAAAAATGGTATGTAGCTTATAACTCTGAGTAGTTAAGGCAGTACTTAGCATGTACCACATCAGCAATTCTGATTAAAGAAGACTTCTAAATATACAGCTTTCTGCAATGTGTCAGTGTTCTTGTCATGGAAAGATCTAATTATTTTAGTTTAATGTGAATTAAATCCTCTGATAGAATGAAGGATAATTGGTATTTGATTTCATGATTAGCTTACCTTGTAAAATTTTCGTGGGCCACATGGACTCCCTTAGAGACATCTGGCAGTCTGTCTACCCTTCTGTAAGCCCAGATAGAGGATGGGAAGCCAGAGTGTATTTGGTACTGGGCTGCAGCTAATGGATTAGGGTAAGTAACATTGAGCTGTCAACATGAGCATACTGCTGTGGCAAATGCCCCTTCCTAGGATTACTTCAAGAGAAGATGAAAAGGAGTTGGACCTCGAACCAGAAATGCTTCTTACACTCTTTTTGTTCTCTTCTGTTTCAGTGATAACTGTATGGGCTATCAATATCCATTCACTCTACGAGTTGTGCAGAAAGATGGGAACTCCTGTGCTTGGTGCCCACAGTATAGGTAAAGTGACCTGCAAAAGAATTACTTTAGTAGAATTTCAGCTTTAGATATTATACAATTTTCCTAAGATTTCCAATTTTGAGAAGTAAATAGTGAATAATGAGAAACTTAAGAACTGTGGCTGGGCACCATGGCTCAGGCCTGTAATCCCATCACTTTGAGAAGCCGAGGCGGGTGGATCACCTGAGATCAGGAGTTTGAGACCAGCCTAACCTGGTAAAACCCCATCTCTACTAAAAATACAAAAATTAGTGGGGCATGGTGGTGTGTGCCTGTAATCCCAGCTCCTTGGGAGACTGAGGCAGGAGAATCACTTGAACCCAGGAGGCGGAGACTGCAGTGAGCCAAGGTTGCGCCATTGCACTCCAGCCTGGGCAACAAGAGTGAAACTCTGTCTCAAAAAAAGTTTTTCACTTCCTTTTGAGGTCAATAGATAAGTTTTGCTTTTGAGACTTAGCTGGTTTTATAAACTACAGTCCATACCAAATTCATAACTTGTGACAAACATTTATTACTCTATAAATTCACCTCTCCTTTTTTGTTTTGTTTTGTTTTGAGATGGAGTCTCGCTGTGTCACCCAGGCTGGGGTGCAGTGGCTCAATCTTGGCTCACTGCAACCTCTGCCTCCCAGGTTCAAGCAATTCTCCTGCCTCAGCCTCCCGAGTAGCTGGGACTACAGTTGCACACCACTGTACCCAGCTAATTTCTGCATTTTTAGTAGGAATGGGGTTTTGCCATGTTAAACTGGTCTCGAACTCCTGACCTCAGGTGATCCACCCACCTCAGCCTCCCAAAGTGCTGGGATTACAGGCATGAGACACCATGCCCAGCCTCTGTAAACTTTTATATGCATTTATTTAATCTGCCATTTTACAAACAAGGAGATAGGTGTTATACCAGATAAATTGTCCTACCTCAGAGCATTAAATAACTGAATTTGGAATTTCTTGCATGCTGTAGTATCTCAAACAGCCAATTCCCATGTCATTTATTTGCCATAAAGTTCACATCTTCCTGTGATTAACAGATGGTTATCAAGTACTTTGTAAAAATAAAGACTTGAAAAGTGAAAAGCATGATTCCCTGAAATGATAATAATTATTAATAAGTATCCTTACATTTATCAGAGTCTGAAGTTAGAAGCCCATGACAAATTGTGAGGCCCAAGAGGAAAGCAGAAAAGTAGGAAGGGAGAATATTTTTTATTAAGAAAATTTAAATTCCTTCATAATTATTTCTTCCTCTGTGGATCTTTCCCCCCTTTTTAGATTTTGCAGAGGCTGTAAAATTGATTGTGGGGAAGACAGAGCTTTCATTGGAAATGCCTATATTGCTGTGGATTGGCACCCCACAGCCCTTCACCTTCGCTATCAAACATCCCAGGAAAGGGTAAGAATTTAGGGCCACCGTAAAATGGTGGTTTTTATATGGGAAATTTCCCCCAGTGTAACTATTATGCCATTTCTGTTTGACAATTTAAAAACAACCAGAAAAACCTTCATTGGCATCCTCTATGGCACCTAATATATTGACATGTTTGCTTGAGCTTTTTCATTTTCCAGCTTCTGGAGTTCATTGTATTGGGGCATTGTCTTTGTCCATTTTGTGTTGCTATAACAGAGTACGTGAGGCTGGTAACTTACAAAGAAAAGAGGTTTACTTAGCTTACTACTATTCGGCAGCCTGGGAAGTTCAAGGACATGGTCCTGGCTTCTGGCAAAGACTTCTGTGCTGCATCATAACATGGCAGAGAAGAGCAAAGGAGAACAGACACAGGCAAGAGGGAGGACCAAACAGGAGGAAGATCCTCGCTTTCTAACAGCCCGCTCTCTTGGAAACTAAGTTCTCAGAAGAGAACTCACTACTGCAAGAATGGCACCAACCATTTATGAGAGTTTCACCCCTGTGACCGAAACACCTCCTACTAGGCCCCACCTCCTAACAACGCCACATTGGGAATCAAATTTCAACATGCATTTTGGTGGAGACAAACCATATCCAAACTATAGCAGGCATTAAATTTCAAAAATATTAATAAGTGAATCTTGAAACAAAACTGTGTCTGGCCATGACATATCAATAAGCATCTCTCTGTTAAATATTATCGAAGTTGCAGCATTTGGTAACCAGGTAACCACAGTTACTTAGTTCAAGTGTGTCCCAGGGCTGTAGCTGCTCCCTTTAATAGGCAGAGTGATCAGAACAGTTAGAGAAAGGATTGAAATGTTTCCATTTTGGGTACCTAAGAGCACATCTCAATGGCCGCTCTTCACACTTCACATTCTTCTATTGTCGCTGTCTGGCCAGAGCAATTTTTAAATTTTGAAAATGTTGCTTCAGAAATAATTTTAATTCCATACCTAAAAATGCTTGCCTCAGGCAGTTTTTAATCAACCAAATATTATTTGAAAGGTAAAGACATTAAGAATCTGATGGAGAGGTAAAAGCAACAGAGTCAAAGGAGTTCCTTAAGTCACATGAGGAATTGTAGTGGTTTTTGCATTTTTATGGCTCTTGATAGTTGGAAATTTCCTTTACTAGTTTTTAAAGCATTCCCTTTGGATAAGTTAATAATGGTAACTGACTTTTCTGTCTTGTTATGCTATGGAGGACTGGGGAAACTACCAATTCTAGACCTAGTTTCCTATTTAGATCCCAAAATATGCCCCACACACCGAGGTTCCTGGGAGCCCTTTCTAGCCAGGAATAAGTATAATTTGTGGATACTTGTCAAATGAAAGATCACTAGGCTAAAGCTAAAGAAAGCTGAAGAGAAACTAATGTTCTAGATCATGCTCACTAGCAAGGAGGGAAAATTTTACGAGTTGATAGATTCATAAATCTTTGTTAGCACAAAATCTGACAGGGCATTATTCTGACATTACTGTCAATGATGATAAATTATTTGGCTCTATAAATCTCTTCCTCTTTTTAACAAATCCAGTGTGCAATCGGAAAAGCTCTTTAGGACATCCTGCTTATAGGAAACGGCCTACGTGACCTGTTAAATCTTACCCTACTTCCACTTTCAGTGATGCACTTAGGATACCATGGAAACGAAGGGCTGTTGATGCCTTGCTAGGGAGTGGGGCCATATGCCTAATCGGGGCTCCACTACATGTAGGGTTTCTGCATGTGCTTAGAAAGTCATGTAGACAAAAGAGATACTGTGGTTTAAATTGGGATTATTGCCCATATGCTTTATATTTTTTATTCCAGTGATTTCCCTTTTAGGAATTTATCTGAGGGGAGAATACTCTGTAATTACTCCATAATTTGCAGGCAAATATCATCATAGCATTTTTTAGGAGAGTAAAAAGTTATTAACAACTTATATTTGTCTCACATTAGAGGAATGGTTAAATAAAGCATGGTGTATTCATTGGATAAAATATAATGCAGTTGTTGAAAATGATTACTAGGAGTTTTTGCTAACATTTATGGGAACATGCTTACGATATGTGAACATTGTTTTAAAAACAAGACATAAAGTTGCATATACTGGAAATAATACCTTCAATATTGAAAAAAATACTATTTAGGAAAAAGGACAGAAGAAAATCTGCCAATATTTTGACAGTGGGTTGCCTTTGTATTAAGAATATAACAGGATTCCCTGCCTTTTTACATTTTTCTCTGCTTTCCAAAATTTCCACATGAATATTATACCTAGTAATCAGAAAAAAATAGAGGGGCAATCACTCTTATCCTTTATATTTCTCTCCTGTTTGGACCTCAGATTCCTCAGTAGAAAATGAAACTAGATGCCAGCCTGGGCAATATGATGTCACCCTGTCTTTACAAAAAATGCACAAATTAGCCAGGTGTGGTGGTGTGCACCTATAGTCCCAGCTGCTTGGGAGGCTGAGGATGGAGGATTGCTTGAGCCCAAGAGATCAAGGCTGCAGTGAGCTGTGATCTCGCCAGTGCACTCCAGCCTGGGTAACAAAGCAAGACCCTGTCTCAAAACAAAACAAAACAAAACAAAAACAAAAAAGAAAAAAAAATTAAACTAGACAAATTCTTAGGCCTCTCTCTTTAATAGTCTTATATGAAAACTATTACTTCATTTCCTGTGTTTTGTGTTAAAGATGAGCTTTAAAGCAACTCTGAAAAAGAAGAGGGTTCCTATAGGTAATTTATAGACTATTTAAACAGTAGTAGAGGATCTAAGCATAGATCCCAAGAGGTAAAGGGAATCTTTATCACTTTGGGAACTTTTACTGATAAATAGAAATTACTGTCAGTACAGTCCACAAATATGTTGTTTATCAGCCATCTTTCCTCCCTGTCTTCCTCTAGCACTGTAGCCTGTGTTCCCCAGAAAATATGGTCAATAAAATTCAACATTCTTTACTAGCTTACTCTCATTTGTGGTTGGCCATAAAGTATTCCTGGTAGAGATAATAGAGATAATGTTTAACTGGCCATGAGAAAGGAAACACTATCGTATATGATACACCCCTTTTTCTACTCATTCCAACAACGATGATACAGCACGTTTCCTTTTGAAGCACGTGTTTTTTCCTTGAGTGACCAGTTCAAAAGATGATGACAGTTAATATCTTGTTACTACAGAATTTGTACTCAAAAAAGAAGTCTATAACCCAAGTCCAAGCCAGATTTCCTTTTCTAAAAAAAGAATTTTCCTCTAAGTTCCCCTTTTTAAATGAGCTCTTTAGCCTGGGTAGTTATGCAGTGCTAGAACCGTAACTGCATGATCAAACCCAACCTTGCTAGTTTATAACAGCATTTGACAGCCTCGTGACTCTCATGTAGGGAAAAAGTCTCGCCTGAAAACCCATGCTAAGCTGAATGTCTTGAGCTGTGCCAATTTGTATTCCAGGCAGCCTAAGGTTCCCATCATGAGTTTCAGGAAGGGAAATTCATGGAGGAAGTTCACCTCTGGAAGGGAGGAGCAATAAATAGGGTGGGTGATGGACATATGTGACATTTGCCACAGAGAGGCAGTCAGTGTGGGCCTTGTGGTCCGGGCTGTGCTTTGGGACACAAATATATACTGTGTGAAGTCTTAACGGTAGCATTCATAACCCTGATGCTTCACCCACCTTCCCATACATTAGAGGGACAAACAGAAGGATCCCAGCTCTATGGTTCTTGATTGTTTGTCAGGTAGCAGCCAGGCATGGAGAGGGAAAAATTCTTTCTCTTCTGCTGCATTCTAGATCCTTCCTTCTCTCCTTCTTCATTCTACACCACCCCCAACATACATCCCTGCACCCCGCCCATTCTTTGCTCTCTCTCCTTTCTTACACTTGACTCCTTCTTGCTCCACAGCCTAACATGCTGATTAACAGGACCCCAAAGGTTTGGGTGGGTATTAGAGGCCTTCTCAACAAAAGCAGCACACTCTTGAGCTTGTTCTTCCTTTTGTTGCCATCTCAGATAAAAAGGCCCCATGAGGGAGGAGACAGATAATTATAGACTTGGTATTCTGATAACTCTGTGTTACATGGGATCAGATGCAAATGAGTTGTACCCTGTGGTGTTTCATGCTCTGCTGTGTTGTCTTCTCATGGTGAGCTTTTCTGTGCCCTCATTTCATCCAGCTCTGGTTTCTGTGTTTCATGTTATTTCTCCTAGCCTCGTAAACTCTGCAGCATACTAATAATGCTCTGGCTTTCTGATTAAAAATAAATGGCTTACTATCAGCACCCCTGGCTTGAGGGCCAGCTCACATGTAACCCCTTATAGGATTCCAAAGTTGTTAAATAAATTCAATTCTTTTTGTTTTTGTCATTTTGAAGCATTCAAAAATCTTTCAAGAAAAGTTATGGTCATATAAACAGAAATTTTATCCAGAATGTTACTGATGTAACATTTGTGAATAAATGTGTAGGTGTTGTATTTGCTCGGACTCTAGTTTGGGTTGTGTTTTCTTTTCCCTTTTTTTGAGACAAGGTCTCTCTCTGTCATCCGGGCTGGAGTGCAGTGGCGTAATCACAGCTCACTGCAACCTCTACCTCCCAGACTCAAGCAATCCTCCTGAGTAGCTGGGACTACAGACATGCGCCACAATGCCCAGCTAATTTTTAGATTTTTCTTTTACTGAGACAGGGTCTCACTCTGTTGGCCAGGCTGGTTTTGAACTCCTGGACTCAAGCGATTCCCCCCACCTCGGCCTCCTAAAGTGCTAGGATTACAGGCCTGAGCCATCATACCCAGCCAGTTGTATTTTCTTTTTCCTTATAAAGAGTAAAATAAGGGTGAGTGACCGAGCGGTTGATGCATAGCTAGATCACCAGTTTAAATGCCTTCCCACACACCCCTTTCCTCCTGTTCCCTCTACCTACAGGTTGTAGATAAGCATGAGAGTGTGGAGCAGAGTCGGCGAGCGCAAGCCGAGCCCATCAACCTGGACAGCTGTCTCCGTGCTTTCACCAGTGAGGAAGAGCTAGGGGAAAGTGAGATGTACTACTGTTCCAAGTGTAAGACCCACTGCTTAGCAACAAAGAAGCTGGATCTCTGGAGGCTTCCACCCTTCCTGGTATGTTACGGTCCTGCCTCTGAGAGAGCAGGAATCTAGCATAAAAGAAAGAAGACATGAACAAACAGGAGGTTTTGTTATTTTTGAGAATAAGACTTTTCCTGCAGCAGTGTTTAAAACACATTCTGTACAAGGTTTTTATGTTGAATACAGAGATGAATCTTTCTACAAATATTTGGTAGTTCCTTTTCCTAAAAAGCTCATAACCTAGAAGAAGAGATCAATCATGTAGCCCAGTAACTGCAATTCAGTGCGATGTGAGAACTGCCACAAGGGGTACAACGTGGTGAATGTGAACTTCAGGAGAGGGTGAACTTCTGGCTCTGTGGAGAGAGGAAGCTTAGGCTAGCCCTTTGTGGACTCTAGAAGAGCAACTGAGCCCGGGGGCAATACCCACTGCACATAGTCACGTGGCTGTGGCCACACTGCTGAGTTGAGCGCGTGTGCACAAGGACGCCAGTGCACTAGGGCCTGTGTAGAGGCCTTTATGAAACCATATTTTTGAAGTCTTTAAAAAATAATGAAGAGTAAATGTTCTGTTATATATTTCCAAACATTCACATGTATTTGACTTGTTTTTTCCATGTAAATTTTGTATCTTCAGAACCCTTTAATGCGATGTTTTCTACCTTTACTTCTCCAGATTATTCACCTTAAGCGATTTCAATTTGTAAATGATCAGTGGATAAAATCACAGAAAATTGTCAGATTTCTTCGGGAAAGTTTTGATCCGAGTGCTTTTTTGGTACCACGAGACCCGGCCCTCTGCCAGCATAAACCACTCACACCCCAGGGGGATGAGCTCTCCAAGCCCAGGATTCTGGCAAGAGAGGTGAAGAAAGTGGATGCGCAGAGTTCGGCTGGAAAAGAGGACATGCTCCTAAGCAAAAGCCCATCCTCACTCAGCGCTAACATCAGCAGCAGCCCAAAAGGTGAGGCCTGGGGGCCTTATGCAGTTGCTTTCTTGGGACTCCTGTAGGCTACATATGTTTCTCTGTCTTCTGTTCTGGAACATCAGGTTGGTTGGGTGGAAGGAACCTATCTGGAATCAGACCTATCTGTATTTGAGCTATGTAAGTTGTAGCAAGAGATTCAGCCTCCCTGAATCTATTTCCTCATCTGTAAAATGGAGATAATGCCAGGTTTACAGAGTTGAGAGTTTGACACATGGAGAGTAAAGCACTTCACACAGTGCCTGATGTATGGTAAACAGGAATGGTAGCTGCTGTCTTGTCCCCTTATAGTGAAAGTTCTGAGGTTCCCCATCTTTCAGGGGGTCTAGAGGATCAAAACTCCTTTTTTATTTATTTATTTTATTTTTTGTTTTTTTGAGACAGGGTCTCACTCTGTCACCCAGGCTGGAGTGCAGTGGTGCAACACAGATCACAGCTCACTGCAGCCTGGACCTCCTGGGGTCAATCAATCCTCCCACCTCAGCTTCCTGAGTAGCTGGGACTACAGGCATGCACCACTGCACCTGGCTAATTTTTGTATTTTTTGTAGAGATGGTGCTTCGCCATGTTTCCCAGGCTGGGCTCGAACTCCTGCACCCAAGTGAACCTCCTGCTTCGGCCTCCTAAAGTGCTGGGATTACAGGTGTGAGCCACTGTGCCTGGCCCAAAATGATTTTCATAAAAATACTGAGAAAATATGTGCTTTTTCACTTTTTTTCTCTCACAGATGTACAATGGTGTAAGAGAAAACATGACATGGAATAATATCGTCACTTTGACAGTGAAGTCTGTGCTAATGTATTGTACTTTTTCATTCCTCAGTTTTAATTTCTAATACAGGAAATATTGATAGATAAAATTCACATAAAAGTTCTAAAGGTTCTCAATAATTTTTAAAGGTATAAAAGGGGGTAGGGGTAAGAGGCTATAACTAAAAGGTTTAAAGCCTTGCAGGATTTTTGTGAGACACAGAGGTAACAACGGACAGCAGGAAATTCCCAGTACCATGCCTAACAATAGGAAGTACTCAGTAAATGGTGGTCACATTTTTTGTCTAATTTTACAAAGGAGAGGAATATGTATTTGGAAAACTCCTTACTCTAATAGTTGGATTTTTTTCAACTGAATCATCATAAATCATAATCATCTTTCTGCTGTTTTCTGAGTCCCTATAATGCACTTTACATTTTCAGGACATTGTTGCTTATAGGGACTTGGCATTGAAGAAGACAAAAATGTAACTTACTGGCTACACAATAGGAACCAAAGGGTAGCCAGTCATGACTCCCCTGTCTTTACCTTTGTGTGTACAGTTGCAAAGCTAACCTCGGAGTTAGCATTTGGGGCTGGCTTACTTTCTGGCATTTGGATTTGTGAATCTTTTCTTCTGTCCTGTTCACAGGTTCTCCTTCTTCATCAAGAAAAAGTGGAACCAGCTGTCCCTCCAGCAAAAACAGCAGCCCTAATAGCAGCCCACGGACTTTGGGGAGGAGCAAAGGGAGGCTCCGGCTGCCCCAGATTGGCAGCAAAAATAAGCCGTCAAGTAGTAAGAAGAACTTGGATGCCAGCAAAGAGAATGGGGCTGGGCAGATCTGTGAGCTGGCTGACGCCTTGAGCCGAGGGCATATGCGGGGGGGCAGCCAACCAGAGCTGGTCACTCCTCAGGACCATGAGGTAGCTTTGGCCAATGGATTCCTTTATGAGCATGAAGCATGTGGCAATGGCTGTGGCGATGGCTACAGCAATGGTCAGCTTGGAAACCACAGTGAAGAAGACAGCACTGATGACCAAAGAGAAGACACTCATATTAAGCCTATTTATAATCTATATGCAATTTCAGTAAGTGGTTTATTATACGGTTTTCAGAGAGTGGTCTGTGTTTTGTTCACTTGTCTTCATGTATTCATCAGCAAGTATTTTTCAGGTCCTGCTAATTTCCTAGCATTGAGCTTAGTGATAGACAAAGTTAACATTGAAATCTGGGCTCACAGATGTGGTGTGGTGGCTCACACCTGTAATCCCAGCACTTTAGAAGGCTGAGACAGGAGGATCGCTTGAGCCCAGGAGTTTGAGACCAGCTGCTTGGGCCCCGTCTCTACAAATAATTTTAAAATGGAGCGAGGTATGGTGGCATGTGCCTGTGGTCCCAGCTACTTGAAAGGCTGAGGCAGAAGGATCACCTGAGCCCAGAAGGTCAAGTCTTTAGAGAGTTGTGATCACTCGACTGCACCCCAGCCTGGGTGATAGAGCAAGCCCCTGTCTCAAAATAATAATAATAATAATAGTAATTACAATTATAAAATGATTGTTTATCCACACAAGACTTGGAGCTTATGACTTTTGTATTTTGCTTTTTGCTTATTTTGGTTTTAGAGAAAGAGGGTTCTAAAATATTTTCTCACCTATTGATCATTTACATGATCAGTGTTCTCCTGCTCAGATCTTAGTGCTATACCCTGGCCATAGTACAGTTAACTACTAACATACCTCCACTCTCTTATCTCTTACAGTGCCATTCAGGAATTCTGAGTGGGGGCCATTACATCACTTATGCCAAAAACCCAAACTGCAAGTGGTACTGTTATAATGACAGCAGCTGTGAGGTAAACATTCTCAATCTTTGAATGAAAGTTAGAATATCAACAGAACTGGGGAACATTTGTTGAAATAATGGACTATCTCTTGAATAGGAAATAGATATTTCTGTTAGAATTAATATATAGATGCTGTCAGTATTAAAGGAACAAAAGTGATATGCAGAGCAGGGAATGAAAACATGAGTAGTGAGGAAAAATAAAGAGTTAGTTGACCGGGCGCAGTGGCTCATGCCTGTAATCCCAGCACTTTGGGAGGCTGAGGCAGGCTTAGGAGGTGGATCACTTGATGTCAGGAGTTCGAGACCAGACTGGCCAACATGGTGAAACCCCATCTCTACTAAAAATACAAAAATTAGTTGGGCATGTTGGCGCATGCCTGTAATCCCAGCTACTCGGGAGGCTGAGGCAGGAGAATGGCTTGAACCTGGGAGGTGAAGGTTGCAGTGAGCCAAGACTGCACCACTGCACTCCAGCCCGAGCAACAGAGCAAGGCTCTGTCTCAAAAAAAAAAAAAAAAAGTAGTTAGTTAATGCAAAAAGCTCCTATCTTCTAGACTGTTAGAATTTGATGGGGTTGGGCCGAGCGCGGTGGCTCATGCCTATAATCCCAGCACTTTGGGAGGCCAAGGTGGGCGGATCATGAGGTCAGGAGATAGAGGCCATCCTGGCTAATATGGTGAAACCCCATCTCTACTAAAACTACAAAAAATTAGCCAGATGTGGTGGCACATGCCTGTAGTCCCAGCTGCTCGGGAGGCTGAGGCAGGAGAATCGCTTGAACCCGGGAGGCAGAGGTTGCAGTGAGCTGAGATTGCACCAGTGCACACCAGCCTGGTGACAGAGCGAGACTCCATCTCAAAAAAATAAATACATACAAAATAAATAATTAGAATTTGATGGGGTTTTAGGTCATTCTGTTTTGACTTGTCTATGGTCAAAATATTTTCCCCAAAGCAAACATTGGAAATAATGGGGCTCATTTTAAAGGGGCAGGTGTGAGACAGCCAAACTAGTGAGCTTATTGGAAGCAATCAGGTTAGTAATTACAGAGGGTTGGTCTTCCCTTTCCTGGCAAGGATTTAGAGTCATAATAGTGATGGCTTTTTGTTAAAGGTTTTTCTTGCCCTTTCAGGAACTTCACCCTGATGAAATTGACACCGACTCTGCCTACATTCTTTTCTATGAGCAGCAGGGGATAGACTACGCACAATTTCTGCCAAAGATTGATGGCAAAAAGATGGCAGACACAAGCAGTACGGATGAAGACTCTGAGTCTGATTACGAAAAGTACTCTATGTTACAGTAAAGCTACCACTCTGGCTGCTAGACAGCTTGGTGGCGAGGGAGATGACTCCTTGTAGCTGATACTTGGCAAAAGTGTCACTGAAAGACAAGCTAAATGTAGTTATTTTATCCTGTTAGAACAAAAATTCTAATTAAAATAGTTAACTTGAAGAGTAGAAACAATTGTATTTTGAAGTCTCATACAAGCTGTCTGATAGAGAACTTTCAGGCAGATCCCACCATTAGCCTGTAAACAAAAGGTGTGGCACCAGCCACCTGGGACCAAATAAGAATTGAATTGTGCTTGTCCAGATATGAACAAATATGTAGTGAGTATAGAGTTTACCAATAATCATAACAAATATTAAAGATTTCCTTGGAGTCAGAGGAAAAAACAAACAATTATAATGTTGTCTAGGGACGACATGATACGCTACCTCCTTTTTCCTGAAGTTTTATTCCATTATATTGACAAGATGGAGAAAGCAAGATCATGAAGGTGTGCAAATGATTCTTACGGCATGGACAAGGATTTTTCAATTTATTTTTTAAACTGTTTCCATACCCTTTCTTTTTCTTGCTTTTTGTTTTTGCCATTGTGTTTACGTTTGAGACACAACCAGTCATTGGTGGCAGGGGCATAGAGTGGTCAGTCTGAAAGGGAGGCTCTCTTAAGAGCTATGTGCCTTCCAACCAGAGGGAGACCCAGTAGAAAGAAAAACATCCTGGGAAATCCAGCTACCAGGGCCCTCCCAGTGGAGGCATCTTACATTTAGGCTACTTCAAGTATCCTCAGAAATGTATTCTGCACCCCCGGCCCCGCCCATGCTGAGGGAAGGGGAGCAGTTGCCAATATTTGCACCATCTTCACATGCACATGTTGCAACAAGAGCTTCTGGGAAGGTAAGCGGCATCGGAGCTAGATCACGTTTCACAATTAGTGGTTATTCTTTTCTGTGTTTGTTTTGCACTTTAAAAAAGAGAGAACACATGCAAATGAACTTGCTTGTGTGTATTTGATGGCTCTAAGGGCTATAAATTACAAACAAAACACATCCCAGACATTAGGAGTTCATAAGTATATTTAATGAAATTGGTGGTTTTAGGAAGTCAACTTTAGTTTTGCTTTGTTTGCATGTCCACTGGTTTTTTTATTTTGATATTTGTCTTTTTTTAAATTTTACAGTAGTCATTGAAAGTTATGTTTCTTTGCTTACTTCATTTTTTCCCTCTAATTATTTAAGATTGGAACAAAAGTATAAATATTATTTATTTGAGGTAGAATTTTTTTCATGTAGTTTCTTAATATATACTTGAAGGAAATGTTTCACCTTATTTTTGGTCTTTGTTTATTCATTTAGACCCTGCAAGTTGATTCTCATTGCCAGATTCCATTACCCTTTCTTCCTCATAGGTAGTAATTACCAATGTAACTAAGCATTTGTGTTCTGATATCTGAGGCCAGTAACTATTAATATCTAGTTCTCAGAGCATTTGGAAAGGTTATCTTAAATGGCTACCTAAATTGAAATCCTTTTCAGAAAAAATATAATTGCAAGTAGGTAGGAGTGGCCTAAATTGTCTAATGTAATAAAGTCAGACAAAATGCACACTTTATAGTTTCAAGATTTTCAGTAAATAAAATCTGTCCATTCCTACCTGGACATGTCCCATTAAAAAGTGGAAGATTTTAAATAATTTCTTTACAGATGTTTTATTTAAACAGGTAGCACAATCTACTAATGTTGTGTGATTTGTGTTATACTGGTTGTAATTAATTTTTTTAATTCATGAACTAGCGGAAAATTTATTAAATTAACTATTAACTACATTCACCTTGTAAATTACTGTATAAAACTTGTTGACAATGCACTGACTTTAGAAAGATGTTAATGTACATAAATAGAGTGTAAATAAAATAGTGTTGATGTACTGAAATATGAACTGTATCAAAAGTATTGGTAATTGTATATGGGGTGTACCTGTTTATCTGTTAACTATTATCCAAACAAATTAAATACTGTGGTTGCCTCTATGTGCTGTTTTTCCTCATACAAGTAAACACAGAAAGTCAAATTCTTCAGCCTCCCTCTCTGTGATCCTGTTTTAATTCTCCTACTTGAATAATTTCTTTCTGACTTGTATACAGAGGGGATGCTTCATCTCTGAGGTTGGAAACTCTGTAGAGCAGGATTCCCCAACTCCTGGGCTACAGACCAGTACTGTCCATGGCCTGTTAGGAACCGGGCTGCACAGCAGGAGGTGAGTGGCGAGCTGTATTTATAGCCGCTCCCCCTTGCTCCCATTACCGCCTGAGCTCTGCCTCCTGTTAGATCAGCAGCGGCACGCCATTCTCACAGGAGAAAGAACCCTATTGTGAACTGCGCATGCTAGCAATCTAGGTTGTGTGCTCCTTATGAGAATCTAATGCCTGATGATTTGAGGTGGAACAGTTTTATCCTGAAACCATTCCCCCCATCCCCCCAGTCCGTGGAAAAATTGTCTTCCACAACACCCATCCCTGGTGCCAAAAAGGTTGGCAACCACTGATGTAGAGGGTAGAACAAGATCTCTCCAGTGACCAGGTGACTTTAAACATGGCTCACATCCCTTTTAGAAAGTTATGGCAGGGAAGCAAGTAGAGAGCAGGTGGTAAACTGAGGATTGGTGCCTACATTGGTACCTACAGTGGGTCCTACAGTCATTTTTGTGCAGATCAGGAGATGAGGTGAAGAGAAGGAAAGCTTCTCATTTGCATAATGCCTTGAAATGACCCTAGGTTTCTAGCGGGCACCGAGAAACCAGAGATGCCCCTTGTTGTCTGTCTGGGAGATCCAAGGAGACATCTGGCAGTGTTGAGAAGAGATGAAGGTGACAGCTGTAGGTCCTTCACCCTCAGCTTCTATTTGTTCACCTATAAAGTTAAAATACGGAACACTCAGGCTTGTAAGAATTAAATGAAGGACACAAACCCTGGCACAGTTGCTTGGTAAGTGCTCAATCCAACGATATTCAATCCTATTTCACAAAGAGGGATTTTTTGTTTGTTTTGTTGTTTGTTTCTTTACCTCCTTGCTACACCGACGCTAAAAGAGTTTAATAGTACTCTGTTCACATTTTCCAAAAACAAGAATACACATTAAAAATGTATAAAATGGGCCAGGCCCAGTGGCTTACACCTGTAATCCCAGCACTTTGGAAGGCCAAGGCAGGCGGATCACCTAAGGTTGAGAGTTCCAGGCCAGCCTGACCAATATGGAGAAACCCCGTCTCTACTAAAAATACAAAATTAGCCAGGCATGGTGGTGCATGCCTGTAATCCCAGCTACTTGGGAGGCTGAAGCAGGAGAATTGCTTGAACCCGGGAGGCAGAGGTTGCAGTGAGCCGAGATCACGCCATTGCACTCCAGCCTGGGCAACAAGAGCAAAACTCTGTCTCAAAAAAAAAAAAAAAAAAAAAGAATAAAATGAAACATGTTGAATCAGCAGCAGTGGCAGCTTGTTTAAGGAACAAACAAACAGAAAATTAATACGGAAAGTCAAAAAATGAAGCACAACTCTTTTAAGTGCCAGTCTGTTTTTAGGTTTCTTCTTTTTTTTTTTTTAAATAGAGACAGGGTCTCTGTTGCACAAGGATGGAGACACACAAGCCTGGCATGGCTGTAGGTGATACAGGGTGGAGACACTGGGAGGTCAATGCGGCTGCAGACACAGGGTTTGGAAACACCTGATGGAAAATGTGGGCTGTCAGATAAATCCCTGCTTAGAGAGAAATTTACAGCCTTAAAGGAGTATGTTAGAATAGAAAAAAAGATTGACAGTCAATCACATAAACTCCCTTCTCAAGAATTAAAAACGATCAAAATGAAAGAATGAGAAAGTAATAAAGAGCAGACATCAATGAAATAGGAAAAAAAAAGCAACAGAAACAAATCAAGGATAAAAGTTGGTTTATAGGGTTGGGCGCAGAGGCTCACACCTGTAATCCCAGCACTTTGAGAGGCCGAGGCAGGCGGATCACGAGGTCAGGAGATCAAGACCATCCTGGCTAACACAGTGAAACCCCGTCTCTACTAAAAAATACAAAAAATTAGCCAGGCGGGGTGGCGGGTGCCTGTAGTCCCAGCTACTCGGCAGGCTGAGGCAGGAGAATGGCCTGAACCAGGGAGGCGGCGCTTGCAGTGAGCCGAGATCGCACCACTGCACTCCAGCATGGGCAACACAGTGAGTCTCTGTCTCATAAAAAAAAAAAAAAAAGTTGGTTTATAAATATTAATACACTTAAGAAACCACTAGTGAAACCAACTGAGGCAAAGAGGAAAGACACAGAAAACCAATATCCGGAACCAAAACAAAAGCCTGTTCCATAGAGCAGTGTATTAAGACACTAGGAGGGTTCGGTGAAATACTTAGGACTACAAGTTTGACAACAGAGATTCAAATAACATCACATTGAAAAATAAACTTACTAGGCCGGACATGGTGGCTCACGCCTGTAATCCCAGCACTTTGGGAGTTCGAGGCAGGTGGATCGCCTGAGGCCAGGAGTTCGAGACCAGCCTGGCCAACATGCTGAAAACCCGTCTCTACTAAAAAATACAGCCGGGCACTGTGGCTCACACCTGTAATACTAGCACTTTGGGAGGCTGAGGCAGGTGGATCACGAGGTCAGGAGTTCGAGACCAGCCTGGCCAACATAGTGAAACCCCGTGTCTACTAGAAACACAAAAATTAGCCGGGGTGGTGGCACGCACCTGTAACTCCAGCTACTCAGGAGGCTGAGGCTGGAGAATTGCTTGAATCCAGGAGGCGGAAGTTGCAGTGAGCCGAGATTGCGCCACTGCACTCTAGCCTGGGAGACAGAGTGAGACTCTGTCCCCCAAAAAATAAAAATAAAAATAAACTTACTAAAACGGACACAGAAATAACATAAAACAAGAAAACTCCTACATATACCGAAGGATTTGAATTATTAGAAGTCAAACCAGCCAACAAAAATACTGTTCCACAAGGAAAATTCCATACCTAAAGAAATATTCCAAATATTTAAGGAAGAAAACACCTAAATTTCTCAGACTCTTCCAAAGAGAAGAAATATAGGAAATATTTTTCAGTTTTTTTTTTTTGTGAAGCCAGCATTACTTTGACACCACAATCTGAACAGGACCTTAGAAAAAAAAATTATAGGCCCACTCTTTCATTAACAGAAATACAAATATTCTAAAAAAAACCATATCATATGAATTAAACCACATATGGAAATGTAACACATGGATACCAAGTGGGATATACTAAAAAATGCAGGATTGGTTAACATCCAAAAATAGTTCACATAAAATATCCTATTTTCAGAAAAATACGAGAAAAACATATGATTATTTACAGTATATGTAAAAAAAAGCATTTATTCAAATTCAACAATTAGTCATAAATAACTCTTAGCATATGTAAAAGAAGGCAGCTTCCTTAATCTCATTGTTTGTCTAAAATGAAATTATAATAAACTACATAAGGAATACAGGATCACTGAAACCTGTTCCCTGGAATCAGAACCAGACACACCGTGTTCAGGAGGTGTGATGGGGACAATAAAAGAAGAAAATAAAGAAAAATAAAGGTGTAAGAACCAACATTTAAGCAATATAGGTGTTATTATATGTGGCTGACACTAACTACATAAGTATGTAAGTACGTTAAGTATTTAAGTACATAAGTACATAACTACATGTACATAAGTACATGAAAAACCCACCACAATCCAAAAATGATGCCTATGAATATGTGAATTAAACCAGGTAACAAGATACAAAATCAATATATAAAATCAATTAGATTCTTATTTACCAGCAAGAAAGAAATGTGAAATAAAATTACGGTACAATGACCAGACTAAGAAACAACTATCTGCACTAGAAATGACCCCATAAAGGATTAATTTATAGAATACCTTTTTAAATTCTTCAAATCAACATAAGAACACAAATGACCCAACAGAAAAGCCAGCACTGAAAATGAAGACAAAGACGCAAAGGCCAATAAATATTCACAAAACGTCGCTTCACTAACTTATTTCCAGTTCCAGATGACAGGAGGCCCTCAAGGACCCAGAAGGCAGGACCACAGGGAGGTGACAGCGCCAGCAGCAGCAGGGCAGGCCTCTGCCTTGGCCACAGCTCCTGGCGGGCTGCAGGGGCCGGGAAGCCCGAGCAGCCTGGCGCTCCTGGCCCCTGCACACACTTCCCTCCCTCCACCCCGTTCCTCTCTCTCTCTGTGCCTTGGGCCCCCTGGGATGCGCTCACATCCAGACTCACCAGGCCGGAGACGTTGGCAGAATGGAGAAGTGCTGGCTACAGGTGGATGATGCCCACCTGGCTGCCAATGACTTCTGCACCAAGCGAGGCTGGGTCTCTGGAGCTGCACCAGGGGCTGGACAAGCTGACCCTGGCCGGAGCCAACCTGGAGATGCAGCCTGAGAACCTCAAGGAGGACCTGGTCTACCTGAAGAAGATTCAACAATGACTATCTTTCTTCAGCCCCATCTAATTACGGCCCCTGGCACATACTAAACAGTCACTAAGTAATTCTTAAATAACTTTTATTTCAACATTCAGTTAAAAACATTCCATACTGTAACAAAAATTTCAATCTTTCAAAAGTCCAATACCCTTAGTTTGATTCAAGCTCCATCAAAGATGAATTGGTTAGTTTTTAATCTGGAGTTTACAAGTCATAGTTAATATTTCAAAAAGCCTAACATAGACGATATGTTTGCCCACAAAAGGAATAAAAAGACTAATGAAAATGGTAAATTATTTGCTTTGGGCTGGAATTTTAGTACCTAGGTCTGCCTACATGGTGCCAGTCAGAAGCATGATTTGTGTTGTACATGCCTTTATGTAGCAAAATATAATTCTTTAATAAATGCAGTTTGGTAAACATAATCTTTTAAGACACAGGACATAGGGGAGTAAAAAGAAGGCCTTGGTGATTAAAAAGTTGGAAACCACTGAATTAAATTACCTTCAAATCCCTGTAAGTATCCTGTTTATCCTTATAAACATTAGCTCTCACTGTACAGCATTGTAAAGACAAGCAGAAGAGTTAGACTTTTTTTTTTTTTTGAGATGGAGTTTCGCACTTGTTGCCCAGGCTGGAGTGCAGTGGCATGATCTTGGCTCACCGCAACCTCCACCTCCCAGGTTCAAGTGATTCTCCTGCCCTAGCCTCGCAAGTACCTGGGACTACAGGCGTGCCCCACCATGCCTGGCTAATTTTTGTTATTTTTAGTAGAGACGGGGTTTTAGTATGTTGGCTGGGCATAGTAACTCCTCATGATCAACTCGTGACCTCGTGATCTGCCCACCTTGGCTTCCCAAAGTGCTGGATTACAGGTACGAGCCACCGCACCTGGCCTACACTCATTACTTTCACAGGGTTTTTTCCCACATTTAAACTTGTCACTCGACTAGGAAGTCAAGATTGAAATGGCTCTTTCCATGAATAATTTAGTTTTGGGGTTGTTGCCAAAGTGATTTATAATGATTTTAATAATGATAGACATCCCTTAAAACATTCTCAAGTAATTAGACCCCTGGGGCTGGTGCAGTGGCTCATGCCGGTAATCCCAACCCTTTGGGAGGCTGAGGAGGGAGGAGTGCTTGAGCCCAAGAGTTCAAGTCCAGCCTGGGCAACATAGTGAGACCTCATCTCTTTGTATGTTAAAAAATAAATAATTTAAAAAATTGTATCGTTGGGACCATATTCTAGTGTCAGTTCTGAGACAGAAAAAAAAAAGGTGATTATGTCCAAGAGCTTTTGGCTTTTCCACTTGATTATACTTACGTTTGAAAAATCCAGTAGGTATTTTCTCTGCTTTCCCACCTTCCCATGGTTTTTTTCTAATAAAACTCATTTGTAGTGCAATAAGATGTGGTCTCCATCAGACTTTTCCTAGTTTTACTGCATTCATTAGGTTTCTGCTACCTATTAGAATAGGTCCTGTTTGTAGACTCTTACAGTCTTCAAATTCCTTTCCAATGTGAAGTTTCTGGTGCTTAAGAAAAGCTGTCCACCCACTGAAGGCCTTACCACAGTTGCTACATTCAAAGGGTTTCTCTCTGGTATGAATTCTTTGATGACTGACAAGGTGTGAGTTCTGACTGAAGGCCTTCCAACATTCAGGGCATTCATAGGGTTTCTCTCCAGTATGAACACGATGGTGTCTAATAAGATCTGAGCTGCCCCTAAAAGATTTCCCACATTTGTTGCATACATAAGGTTTTTCTCCACTGTGAATTCTATGATGTCTCAGAAGGTCTGAGCTCTGATTGAAAGTTTTCCCACATTCTTTACATTCATATGGTTTCTCTCCTGTATGAGTTACCTGATGTCCGATGAGGTCTGAGCTGCCCTGGAAAGCCCTACCACACTGATTACACCAATAAGCTTTCTCTTCTTGGTGAATTTTCTGCTCTCCCCTAAGCTCCTCATCCTTGCTGAAGGTTTTCTCACGTTCTTCAAGTTTCTCTCCAGCATGCAGTCTCTGATGTTTGAGGAAAGCTGTGTGCCACATGAAGAGTTTCCCACATTCCTTACATTCATAGGGTTTCTCACCACTATGAATTCTCCGACGTTGAATAAGGAGTGAACGCCGCCTGAAGGCTTTTTCACATTCAGTGCACTGATAGGGCTTCTCTCCAGTGTGGATTTTCTGGTGTGTGACAAGGTGGGACCTCTGGCTAAAGACTTTCCCACATTCACTACATTCATGAGGTTTCTCTCCAGTATGAACACGATGGTGTTTAATAAGATCTGAGCTGCTCCTAAAAGATTCCCCACATTTATTGCATACGTAAGGTTTTTCTCCACTGTGAATTCTATGATGTCTCAGAAGGTCTGAGCTCTGATTGAGTTTTCCCACATTCTTTACATTCATATGGTTTCTCTCTTGTATGAGTTACCTGATGTCTGATGAGATCTGAGCTGCCCTGGAAGGTCCTACTACACTGATTACACCAATAAACTTTCTTTTCCTGGTGAGTTCTCTGCTCTTTTCTAAGCTCCTCATCCTTGCTGAAGGTTTTCTCACATTCTTCAAGTTTCTCTCCAGCATGCAGTCTCTGATGTTTGAGGAAAGCCGTGTGCCACATGAAGAGTTTCCCACATTCCTTACATTCATAGGGTTTCTCACCACTATGAAGTCTCCGATGTTGAATAAGGAGGGAACGCCGCCTGAAGGCATTCCCACATTCACTGCACTGATAGGGTTTCTCTCCAGTATGGATTTTCTGGTGTGTAGCAAGGTGTGACCTCTGGCTGAAGGCTTTCCCACATTCACTACATTCATAGGGTTTCTCTCCAGTATGAATACGATGGTGTTTAATAAGATCTGAGCTACCCCTAAAAGATTTCCCACATTTGTTGCATACATAAGGTTTTTCTCCACTGTGAATTCTATGATGTCTCAGAAGGTCTGAGCTCTGATTGAAAGTTTTCCCACATTCTTTGCATTCATATGGTTTCTCTCTTGTATGAGTTACCTGATGTCTGATGAGGTCTGAGCTGCCCTGGAAAGCCCTACCACACTGATTACACCAATAAGCTTTCGCTTCCTGGTGAATTTTCTGCTCTCCCCTAAGCTCCTCATCCTGGCTGAAGGTTTTCTCACATTCAAGTTTCTCTCCAGTATGCAGGCTCTGATGTTTGAGGAAAGCTGTGCGCCAAATGAAGAGCTTCCCACATTCCTTACATTCATAGGGTTTCTCACCACTATGAATTCTCCGATGTTGAATAAGGAGTGAACGCCGCCTGAAGGCTTTCCCACATTCAGTGCACTGATAGGGCTTCTCTCCAGTATGGATTTTCTGGTGTGTAACAAGGTGTGACCTCTGGCTAAAGGCTTTCCCACATTCACTACATTCATAGGGTTTCTCTCCAGTATGAACACGATGGTGTCTAATAAGATCTGAGCTGCCCCTAAAAGATTTCCCACATTTGCTACATACACAAGGTTTTTCTCCACTGTGAATTCTATGATGTCTCAGAAGGTCTGAGCTCTGATTGAAAGTTTTCCCACATTCTTTACATTCATATGGTTTCTCTCCTGTATGAGTTACCTGATGTCTGATGAGGTCTGAGGTGCCCTGGAAATTCCTACCACACTGATTACACCAATAAGCTTTCTCTTCCTGGTGAATTCTCTGCTCTTCCCTAAGCTCCTCATCCTTGCTGAAGGTTTTCTCACATTCTTCAATTTTCTCTCCAGCATGCAATCTCTGATGTTTAAGAAAAGCTGTGCGCCCACTGAAGGTCTTCCCACATCTGTGACATTCATAGGGTTTCTCTCCACTGTGGAGTCTCTGGTGTTCAGTAAGGTGAGAATGCTGCCTGAAGGCTTTTTCACATTCATTACATTTGAGGGGTTTCTCTCCAGTGTGAATTCTCTGATGTGGGACAAGGTGTGAACTTTGACTGAACATCTGTCCACAGTCATAACATTCATAGGGTTTCTCTCCAGTGTGAATTCTGTGATGTATAATAAGATCTGTGCTTTGACTGAAAGCCTTCCCACATTTATTGCATAAATATGGCTTCCCCCTACTGTGGATTCTCTGGTGCAGGACAAGGTTTGAGCTTCCCTTAAAAGCCTTCCCACACTCTTTGCACTCATAGGGATTCCCACCACTGTGAATTTGCTTATGTCTCACCAGATTGGAGCTCTGATTGAAGTCTTTTCCACATTCATGACATATATAAGGTTTCTTTCCTGTATGAATTCTCTGATGTATAATAAGATTTGAACTTTGATTAGAGTCTTTCCCACATTCATTACACACATATGGCTTATTTCCTGTATGAATTCTCTGATGTATGATCAGGTTTGAACTCCTGTTGAAGGTTTTTTCACATTCCTTACATTCATAGGTCTTATTTATATTATGAATTTTCTGATGTTCAGTTAATCCTGACTTCTGTTTGAAGTTTTGGCCACTAACCTCATATCTATGGGAGCTTTCTCCTGCAGAAAGTATTTTTTCTCCTTCATTACATCCATGGCCAATCTCTCCCACAATGGCTTTCTGGGGGATAATATGCATTTCCCTGATACCGCTCTCTTGGGAAGGGAGATGTCTCATTGCATCCTTTAAAGGGCTTACCCAGTGCTTCAATAATCTGTCCTCAGAATTACTGGTTTCAACTAACTCACATTCCTGGGTGATTTGTCTTTGGAGTTTTTCGGATGCAGCCCTTGCTGACTTCTTTTCTTCAGAAATTTCCATCTTTGATTTCCATTCCTTCATCTTATTCCTGTCTTCAGAATCTGAAATGATAAGTAGATCATTCTATAATTCCTAAAATACAAATATCATCTCTTCATTATACTGGGCAGTCTAAGAGGGAGGAACAAAGAACTCAGAAGACCTTTCCCTGCCAAAGCTGAGATGTGGCTTTCACTAGCGACACTGTGGCTAACACAGGAACCTGTGCTACCACATACCCTGTTGGTGAAAAAACCCGCCAGGGTGCAGGCTGGAGCTGGGCTGTGGGAGTGGCCTAAAGGGTGGTGAATTAATTCACTGGGGGAGGAGGGCAATCTGGAGTTGGTCCACAGGAAGTGGCCTGTTGGATGGGGGAGGAACTTGCTGGATGGTGTGGCTGGGCCTGAACTGGTTCACAGGAAGCAACCCACTAGGGTAAATGCCACCAGGCCTCCCACAAGTTGATCTGCTAGCAGCCACATAAGTAAATAATTAAAATAAATAAATAAAAATAGAACAGCACACCGGTACCAGGAAGTTAGTTTCTCTTCCCATGGCCACGCATTGTCCCTCCAGCATCCTCTGTTGACAAAGTCAAATCTTGTACGAACTGGCAAAGGAGAAATGTTTACAGAATCCAGCTTTGTAACAAAAGCAAACAAAGATGGGTGGATCTGGAGTTGAGAGGCAATAAATTAATAACCAGCATACTGCTCTTTCCTCCCTATATATCATGATAGTTAAGCAAATCTGTACTATGCCTCAGAATAAAAACGTTTGGCTGTCATTTCAATAGAAATCAATTCTCTTCTTCTCAGACCTCACATTTTTCTTTCTGATATTCTGATGGAATTGCCTCCTTTTGTGTGGCAATTTGATTTCTTCTGAAATTACAAGATAGATGAGCTTATTGCTTTTGAGGGTCCACGTTATCAAATCCCTGACCTTCCCCAGTGGATTAGTCCGTTTTCATGCTGCTGATAAAGACATACCTGAGACTGGAGAGAAAAAGAGGTTTAGTTGGACTTACAGTTCCACATGGCTGGGAAGGCCTCAGAATCATGGTGGGAGGTGAAAGGCACATCTTACATGGTGGTGGCAAGAGAAAATGAGGAAGATGCAAAAGCAGAAACCCCTGATAAAATCATCAGATCTCATGAGACTTATTCACTACCATGAGAATAGTAGGGGGGAAACTGCCCCCATGATTCAAATTATCTCCCACCATATCCCTCCCACAAAACATGGGATTTATGGGAGTACAATTCAAGATGAGACTTGAGTGGGGACACAGAGCCAAACCATATCATTCTGCCCCTGGCCCCTCCAAATCTTATGTCCTCACATTTCAAAACCAATCATGCCTTCCCAACAGTCCCCCTAAGTCTCATCTCATTTCAGCATTAACCCAAAAGTCCACAGTTCAAAGTCTCAACAGAAACAAGGCAAGTCCCTTCCTCCTATGAGCCTGTAAAATCAAAAGCAAGCTAGTTACTTCCTAGATATAATGGGGGTACAGGTATTGCTGGGTAAATACAGCTGTTCCAAATGGGAGAAATTGGCCAAAACAAAGGGGTTACAGGGCCCATGCAAGTCCGAAATCCAGCAAGGCAATCAAATTTTAAACCTCCAAAATGATCTCCTTTGACTCCAGGTCTCACATCCAGGTCATGCTGATGCAAGAGGTGGGTTCCCATGGTCTTGGGCAACTCCACCCCTGTGGCTTTGTAGGGCACAGCCTCCCTCCTGGCTGCTTTCACGGGCTGGTGTTGAGTGTCTGCAGCTTTTCCAGGCATACGGTGCAAGCTGTAGGTGGATCTACCATTCTGGGGTCTGGAGGTCATTGGCCCTCTTCTCACAGCTCCACTAGAAGGTGCCCGAGTAGGGACTCCATATGGTGGCTTCGACCCCACATTTCCCTTCTGCAGTGCCCTAGCAGAGGTTCTCCATGAGATCCCTGCCCCTGCAGCAAACTTCTGGCTGGGCATCCAAGCGTTTCCATACATCTTCTGAAATCCAGGTGGAAGTTCCCAAACCTCAATTCTTGACTTCTGTGTACCTAAAGACTCAACACCATGTGGAAACTGCCAAGGCTTAGGGCACCCTCTGAAGCCACAGCTTGAGCTCTATCTACATTGGCCCCTTTCAGCCATGGCTAGAGCGGCTGGGATGCAGCGCACCAAGTCCCTAGGCTGGACACAGCATTGGGACCCTGGGCCTGGCCCACAAAACCATTTTCTCCTAGGCCTCCAGGCCTGTGATGGGAGGGGCTGCTGTGAAGACTTCTGACATGCCCTGGAGACATTTTCCCCATTGTCTTGCGGATTAACATTCAGCTTCTTGTTACTTATGCAAATTTCTGCAGCCTGATTGAATTTCTCCTCAGAAAATGGGTTTTTCTTTTCTATCACATTCTCAGGCTGCAAATTTTCTGAACTTTTATGCTCTGCTTCCCTCATAAAACTGAATCCATTTAACAGGACCCAAGTCACACCTTGAATGTTTTGCTGCTTAGAAATTTCTTCCACCAGATACCCTAAATCATCTCTCTCAAGTTCAAAGTTCCACAAATCTCTAGGGCAGTGGCAAAATGCCACCAGTGTCTTTGCTAAAACATAACAAGAGTCACCTCTGCTCCAGTTCCCGACAAGTTCCTCATCTCCATCTGAGACCACCTCAGCCTGGACCTTATTGTCCATAATGCTGTCAGGCCTTTGGTCAAAGCCACTCAACAAGTCTCTAGAAGTTCCAAACTTTCCCACATTTTCCTGTCTTCTTCTGAGCCCCCCAGACTGTTCCGACCTTTGCCTGTTCTCCAGCTCCAGAATTGCTTCCACATTTTGGATGTCTTTTCAGCAGCACCCCTGGCACCAATTTACTGTATTAGTATGTTTTCATGCTGCTGATGAAGACATACCCGAGACTGGGAAGAAAAAGAGGTTTAATTGGACTTACAGTTCCACATGGTTTGAGAGGCCTCAGAATTATGGCAGGAGGCAAAAGGCACTTCTTACATTGTGGTGGCAAGAGAAAATGAGGAAGATGCAAAAGCGGAAACCAATGATAAAACCATCAGATCTCATGAGACTTATTCACTACCATGAAAACAGTATGGGGGAACCACCCCCATGATTCAAATTATCTCCCACCAGGTCCCTCCCACAACATATGGGAATTATGGAAGTACAATTCAAGATGAGATTTGGGTGGGGACACAGAGCCAAACCATATCAGTCAGTCACAAAAACACATTTCTGAGCTCCTTGGGAGAGTCATTTTATTTTGGTCCTGCTGATAGGGACTCTAGTCATTAATCTTCTTGGAGTGAATGAGCAGCAACATGGCACAGTGATTAACAGCATGGACTGAAAGGCAAACTGCCTGAGTTTGAAACCTGGCTCCACCACTTAATGATGGGGAAACCTCAGGCAAATCACTGGAGCTCTCAGTGCCCTAGCTTCGTCATCTATAAAATGGAGATAATAATAGTATTTACCTCATAGAGTTGTTATGAGAATCAAATATATATAAATACACATAAAACATTTAGAACAGTGCTTTGCATACAGAAAGCACTATGTGTCAGCTGCTGTTATTATTACTATTAATACTTACCCTTTAATATTAAGTAATGTGTCCATAGAACAGACCTCCATATCCAGGCTGGATTTCCTTTTTTTTTTTTTTTTTTAGAGATATGGTCTCACCATGTTGCCCAGGCTGGTCTCACACTCCTGGGCTCAGGCCATCCTGCCCTGGACTCCCAAAGTGCTGGGATTGCAGGTGTGAGGCACTGCACCTGGCCTTGGATTTCATTTAAATACCATACCCTCTCCTGCAACTGAAAGACAGTGGCCTTACTGCTT